>NC_000006.12:162343517-162495032 GCF_000001405.40 Homo sapiens | reverse complement strand
TTCCTTCAGTGACAGTGAAATATCTTACTGAAATCAATGGTTTCCAGTTTGGTATCGTTCTTTTTGGCTTCGCCATCATTTCCTTGGAGGGAGAGGTTAAGTACTTGTTAGCTACTATGTTCTGGTCTCTAATAAAAATAGGATTAGATTCTCTTAGGTTTAGAGTGGAGCCAGGGTTCTGTTAGCTTAGTCCCTGGTACGACATAGGCAAAATGCCTACTTCGCTTGATTCTACAGCTATGAAAAAATGAGAGAGATTTTCTCAGCAGGGTAACTGGGATTTTTAGTTAATAATAACACAGTATTTACTGTGCATTCCATGCCAACTTTACATTCACTATCTCCCTTAAACCACCCAGTGATCCTATGAGATCTTCACAATTACAATCCCCATTTAAGAGGTTTATTCAAGGTTCCAACCCACATATGTCTGATCATATATACAAGCAGCTTTGTTATAGGGATTTGACCTTCTGCAATTGTGAGGGCTGATCAAGCAGTGTTTATAAGGCTGTTGTCTCACATTGGATGCTGGAGCTTGAAGTCCACATGGCAGGCTCTGGAGAAGAGAAGGTTGATATGAAGTGGGGGAGAGCAAGAAAATCTCAACCCTGATGCTGGAACTTGTGTCACTGTTGTTGCCTCTGGGCTTACTGGGGTCTTGCAGAAGCCAGGGTTCCCCACCAGGGTGCTAAACAAGCACACCTGGCCCTGGGTCAGAGATGTTGAGGAAAGGCCAGGGGACACAGCACAGCTGCAGGCCCAGCTGTTGCCTGATGCCAACGCCCAGGCTGTAGATGACAACAGCCTGTGTAAGCTGCAGAATGAAGGGTGGCTGCTTCAGCCCATCTTCCAGATCCCACCTAAGAACCTCTCTTATTTATAGTGCACCACAATGGGAGACATGGAGAGAATGGGATTCTGGGAAATGTAGTCCAGACAGCCACAGTGGCACATTGCAGCATCTCCACAATGAGGCAGGAAAGACGAAATAGATGGACAGTAACAGTAAGGAGGGGATTGGGTAAAGGCCATGTAATCATCCATCATGCGATTCAGTCACCACATTGCAGAGTGGGAAGAGGATATAGAGGTCATTGAGTTTTCTCCCTCATCTCACAAATGGGGAAGTCCAGTCAAAGCCTAGGAGGCTGGTTTTCCTGAAGACACTGGATGAGGCCAGCTGGTGAGAGGTGGAAAGCCCCTTCTTCTCCATCTTTATTTAGCTTCGTTGAGATGGTGTGGGGTTATCAGTGGATAATCTAGGCTCTGTGTGTACCAGGGCTTCCTTATGGAAGGAGTGGTCATGCATGGACGCTTTCGTCAAAGGATGAAATAACACAATTCTTATTTTCTTATCACCAGCTTAAATATGCAAATTCAAAAAACTTTCAGTATTCCCCATTTATCTTCTTCACTGCTCATATTTCTTGAGTCTGTCTTCTTAGTTATAAGCTGATTATTCTTCTCTTTGAAATATGTAGTTTCTTAGACCCAAGAGATAAATCTTTTTATATCTAAAATATGAACCTTTTCTCTGAGTACCTTATAGTCACCTGATAACTCTATTTGTGGAATTAAGTACTGCTGATGGCATTGCTGAGTGTCCTTGGCTCATTGCTGCCTGATTTTCATTCTTGTAACCAACCGCATCTGAAAAGTTCTTTCAAGTCCATAATATCCCTCTTTGCCTCTACAAACCCAGCAAAGTTTCCTTTTACTGTCTCCAACCTTTGGCCTTCAGGAAGGATAAAGGGAGAAGTCACCTTTGGTCCTTCCTCTTCGCAGTTCTCCCTTTTCCATTTTAAATTGCCTCTCTCTTCCTCTACATAAAGGGATGGTGGTTCTGAGAAGCAGCTGCAGCAGGTTGGCGATAGAAATGTCCATTGATTTTTATCCTGCTGGCCGAACAAGGGAAGTAAGAGATAGGCTGGTATAAAACAAAAAACTCTGGAAGAAGAGATTACATGTCTTCTGCATGAGCACCATCCTCCTCCCTTGGGTGTGGGAGGGGGCAGGAAGCACAAGTGTGCATGAGACATGTTCTTCTGCTTCTTTTTTTTTTTTTTTTTTTTTGTTTGAGACAAAGTCTCGCTCTGTTGCCCAGGCTGGAGTGCAGTGGCGGGATCTCAGCTCACTACAACCTCCGCCTCCCGGGTTCAAGCAATTCTCCTGCCTTAGCCTCCTGGGTAGCTGGGACTACAGGCATGTGTCACCACACCTGGCTAATTTTTTTGTATTTTTTAGTAGAGACAGAGTTTCACTGTGTTAGTCAGTATGGTCTGGATCTCCTGACCTCCTGATCCACCCACCTTGGCCTCCCAAAGTGCTGGGATTACAGGCGTGAGCCACCGCGCCCGGCCCCACACCTGGCTAATTTTTGTATTTTTTAGTAGAGAGGGGGTTTCACCATGTTGGCCATGCCAGGCTGGTCTGGACCTCCTGACCTCAGGCAATCCACCTGCCTCGGCCTCCCAAAGTGCTGGAATTACAAGTGTGAGCCACTGCACCCGGCCATTCTTCTGCTTCTCGACTTTCAGGTGTGTGAGGCCAGACAGGACATTTCTTTCTTTCCTCGATAAAGAGCCTCAGCCCAGGGATGGGACCTGTGAGACAAGAGAGGTGGCTCTCAGCACAATCTGAGCTGTGCTCCCCTAGGCACTGCTGTGGAGCTCAGCCTGCATTGAATGGTTGGAAGCTTCATGCAACCCAAACTCTTCTGCTACTTGGATGAGCCAAGGGGTGAGGATAAGCAAGCGCACCCTTCAATGCAAATTATTTCCCCTTCGTCTTTCAGGTGACATTTGTCACTGTGGCCTTACAGGCCAATCTTTTATCATGTTAGTCATTTAGGCATCTGGCTTTTAGTTCATGTGAGCATGGTAAGAGACTAGTGGAAGCTTCCAGAAGTACAGAAGAGGAGACCAAAAGAACTTCAGACTTGGGGCATGAGGGCATGAGGCCGAGTTCAGAAGCAGGACCATCTTGTTTCCATTTCCTCTGCACCCGAGACACGTCTGCCACAGTCACACCTAGAAATCCAGATGGCCCAGAGACAGCAGAGGCACCGAGGTACTCAGTCCAGGTATCACAGCAAACTGTCCGCCATCTGTTATTAATAGTAGCTTCTCAGCAGCAGTTTATTTCTCAGGGAACACGTGATCTGCTGACAGGATACTTTTGCTCAGGAGTGTTCTAGCCACTGGCATGTTATCAAGACATGGAGCCATGCCCGGAAGTCCCTGATTGTGCGGCTGGTCACCTCAACAAGCTACCCGGTGTGGACCCTGCTGCAGACCTTCCAAGGAGCTGTGACGAATGGGCCTCAAAGGCATCTGCCCAAAAGACTGGTTCTCCCTAGTCAAGCCTGACCCCCTGAGCCAGCTGCCTTGCTCCCCCAGGCTTGTGTATGAGCCGGATGGCTAAGTCAGTCTCCATGGGCGTCCCACGAGCTGGCAGTGTATGAGGCATATGAAGGCGGAAAGTGAGTGAGGCACGGCAACTGCAGTCAGGTGCTGTCTGGGCGCAGCTGCAGGCAGTGGCTGGAGCATGAAGGTGGACTAAAGGTTGTAGGGTGACGTCGTCACGCACACCTGGTGCGTCACCTCTGTCTGGGCCCTGGAGACCCAGTGAAGCATGGTGATCTCAGGTTTTCCTTCATTGTGTTTTCAAAATGGTTCTTATGCTGAGCAATTTGTTGTTTACACCCTACAAAGTGGTCCCTGGTGCCATCCTTGGTTGGTTGGTTTTTTTTTTTTTTTTTGAGCCAGAGTCTCATTCTGTTGCCCAGGCTGGAGTGCAGTGGTGCAATCTCAGCTCACTGCAGCCTCCATCTCCTGGGTTCAAATGAATCGTGTGCCTCAGCCTCCCTAGCAGCTGGGACTACAGGCATGTGTCACCAGACCTGGCTAATTTTTTTTTTTTTTTCTGAGACAGAGTTTCACTCTTGTCACCCAGGCTGGAGTGCAGTGCTGCGATCTGAGATCACCACAACCCCCGCCTCCTGGGTTCAAGCGATTCTCCTGCTTCAGCCTCCACGCCCAGCTAATTTTTGTATTTTTAGTAGACACCAGGTTTTGCCATGTTGGCCAGGGTGGCCTCGAGCTTCTGGCCTCAAGTGATCCACCCTCCTTGGCTTCCCAAAGTGCTGGGATTACAGGCATGAGCCACTGCACCTGGCCCCTCGTGCCGTCCTTTTGAAGGGCTCAGTGTGAGGGCAGTGCTGAGGTCTGGATGCTGCTCTCAACGCTTTTCCTGAACGATCCATCTTTCCATTTAAACTTTGTAGGCATTGAGAGTGTGGATATGTGAAAGTTGTCCATTCACGAAATGTGATTATGGTTGCATTTTTCTTAATGAATATAGACCAGCTTCCTTTTTGGCTTAGTCTATTATTAAAATCATTTATTAGAAATATCAAATAAGCATGAAATTCGTTTTGTTTTCTTAAAGAAAAAAGGTAGAATACTTTGTTTAGAGTCTTAAAGGGATTACAGGAAACTATGGGAAAAAATTCCTGGATTCTGGAATTAAGTGTTGTCATCTCCATTTTCTGATCTATTAGTGAGTGTTATTTTTTGTTGCACTGACTAGGAAAATATAGATGACTGTATTCATGATCTTCTGTATATCAAAACAAATTTAAAGGTATAACAGTTAGTGAAATGTTTATTTCTTCTGTGAAGTTAAATGTTGGTTGCTTTTCTTTCTTTTCCTGGTGGTTTAGAAGTAAATAAATGTTTGCTTAAATATTTCATAAAAGGGTAGACTTTGAAAAGAAAAAGCACACTTTTTCCCCCCGACAAATGATTGAATTTCTTTTTCCTCATGAGGCAATAACCCAGAAAGTAATAAGGGTGTAGAGGCTCCTGCAGGCAGTGTTTTAAGTCCTTTTCTCTTCCCTCTTTATGAAAACCTGTCACATCGCTTCCAAGGACTCTGCAGGGAGCCATGAGAGAGTATGCTGTCACTGTCACTATGGTAAGGACATCCCATCTCTACAATGGGACAATATTTAGTTGCTTTGAGGATGCAAAGTGATTTGCATCTGACCTCATGCCAGCATTTTCTTGCTTTAAAAAGAAACAAGGATTTAAGGTATAAAGACACTTCTTAGAAATTTACCCCAAGGAAATTGGGGATAATGAGGAGGGGTTGTGACCCTGGAACATAGAGAAAAGTTACTGGAAGCAAAGAGACTGTGATCTGTAGCAAAGTGGAGATGGCCAGAGTGGGGTGTTTGTGAGTGCACGGACAGCACATCCTTCAGGGACTGTGAAATCTGAGACACCACAAGGGTACAAAGTAGAAGGCAAATTGGAAATAATTTTTCTCCAAGTTGATAGTGACCAGGGGGTGGGAAAGTTATTCCTGCATTGCTGCCCCCAACATACTTATAACTCCTTTGAAATTTGAGGCTTGAAGTGTTTATTTCACAAGTAGCTCATGCTGTCGGGCAAAGTGCGGTTTTGCGTAAAAATAGGGACTCAAAACAAAGATTGATTCATCAGCCATGATGAACTTTGTTTTGTTAAATTTAAACAAACTGGTCCAAACTCATACTTTTTTGTGGGATAGATTTTCTATCTTTCCTCAGTGCAGGCAGTTGAAAAATACAGAGTTTTAATATTCTGTACTGAATCCCTTTCTAATGTTTTACTTTGTGCACTTAGAAGATAAGTATTCTTCTGTGAAACAAGCTAAATGTATGCTGCTTCAGCTTTTCATATGTCGCTTTGGAGGAGGGCCAGCAGAAGAATTCTAGAATATAATGCCATCCTTGATTGTTTCATAGAGATTAACTGAATTTTTGTGCATTGGAGTAAATTTGAACTTTGTTTAAGGTTTATACCAGTACATAGATTATTAGGTTGTTCTTTAAGACACTGCCTTATTTAGAGTAGGTGACATTTACAATTTAGGAAAAAGGAAGAGGAAGGAAGGAAGGAAGGAAGGGTGAGCTCCTTCTCCCTGGACCCCTGCTCCTTTCTCCCTGTGCCAAATTGTTAACTCCTACTCATCTTTAAAGTTTCAGGAGTGGTGGCTTATCCTGGATCTCCACAGACAGACCCAGACCCCAGGCTTCAGGAACACCTTTACCCCCTTCTTAGTATCACCTATCAGAGTTCTAATTTCAGTTTGCATGATTATTAAATATTTGTCTTTCCTGCTAGAGTGTAAACTCCATGAGGGCAGGACCCTTTCATTGCTTGACTATGGATTCCTAATGCCCAAGAGCCTGGCAGGGGCTAGTGTCAATCACCAGCACTATTTGTCCCTTGCTATGCGTCGGGGCCTTTTCCAACACCATGTGGGCCTGCTCGTGCTGTTCTCACACAAGCAGCCCTATGCAGTGAGCAGTATTGTTCTCATTTACAGAGGAGGAAGTGATACTCAGAGAGGACGGTCACCCATCCAGAGTGACAGAGGTAGTCAGTGGCTGTCTGACCCCACCACCTGTGTTCTTCATTATCATGCTGGATAGCCTCTGAGGAAGTGTGAGTAGAGAGGAGGAAAGGAGGAATGCTATTCAGCCTGAGCTCTGCTGATCTCATGAGGTATGGCGCTGCAGCTGGAGGCGACCCACACCTTAGTGGATGTGGGGAAATCTCCTCAGTGAAGAGTGGATTTGTGGAGACCATGCATCCACACTGGTGGCACTTGCTTTTCAATAATTTTATTGTCGTGGGACATACATGAGTAAAAATGGAAATTCCAAATAGGATCAGGCATAGGGGCGTTTCCTTAATTTGACCTAAAACATGCATGCCTGGAGATTCTCATTGGTTTGATAAGACAAAGAAAGAAAGTCAAAGAATTATTGGGAATATTCAGCTAAGAGTAACAGGAATTCTTCCTTCTATAGACAGCCCTGTGATTTTTGTGGTGTTTAAACTTTGTAAAATCTGGATTTTATCAGGACAAGTGAAAAATTGCAGAGGACTAATTCCTAAATATTAGTGAGTGTTTAACCCTCCGCCAAAAAAAAAAAAAAAAAAAAAAAAAGGGAAATGGTGGATGTAGTGTCTGTTCTTATGTCTGGGAGGCTGTCTAGGCAAAACTCTTCTTTTTGGTGTTAAAATACCCATTATTTTAATTTAATTTTATTATTTTTTGAAAGTAGAGATGGGGGTCGCACTTTGTTGCACAGGCTGGTCTGGAACTCTTGGCCTCAAGTGATCCTCCCACCTTGGCCTCCCAAAGTGTTGGGATTAGAGGCATGAGTCCTCATACCCAGCCAGGCGTTATTTTATAAAACAGTTTTGCTAGGTTATTTGTTTGAGTGAGGTTTTCAAAAATGTTTTTAAAGAACAAATAATAGTTGTTTCTATGTTGAATTCTTCACTTAAAAAAAAAATTCTGGTCCATGAAATTCAAAGGCCTGGGAACCACTGATTGTAAGAACTTAAATCTATTATGTTAGTGAAGCTTTTTGCCAGGAAGTCCTTGTGTAGATTTTATGTAATTCTTTGCTCGTTTTTCCAGTTTTATGTGTGTTCATTTCCTCAGTAAAGAAAAGGAATTACTGAGAAAATCATAAAAAGTGATGACAGGGAGCGTAAAAAGCCCCACCACAAATGTGTCCTGCCACGCGTGCAGGCTCTCCTGGGGACAGAGGCTTGTGCCTGGGAGATACACACAGCCTCAGAAAACCAGTCACTTGGCCTTCCTTCTCAAGGAACAAACTAGAATTGGTGTTTCTATCTCTATACAAAGTCTTGCCAGCCTCCGTTAGAGAATGAAAACGCAGAGGCTGTCTGGCAAAGTCAACTAACAACCACTCCATAAGGAAGCACTTTCTGCAAAGCTGACCCCAGGAATAACCCTTTAGACACTGGGTGGTCAAGGAGGTAGAGTTCATATCTTATTAGATTTTAAAGAGTTAATCACACTTTCTAGACCTTCTTAGTAGGTGATTATGCGTTTTTTTCCTTAAAATCTACTTTTCTTTTCTTTTTTTTTGAGACTAGAGTCTCACTCTATTGCCCAGGCTGGAGTGCAATGGTGCGATCTTGGCTCACTGCAACCTCTGCCTCCTAGGTTCAAATGATTCTCCTGCCTCAGCCTCCCGAGTAGCTGTGATTACAGGTATGCACTACCACGCCCGGCTAATTTTTGTGTTTTTAGTAGAGATGGGATTTCACCATGTTGGTCAGGCTGGTCTTGAACTCCTGACCTCAGGTGATCCACCCACCTCGGCCTCCCAATATGCTGGTATTACAGGCATGAGCCACCACGCCTGGCCAAAATCTACTTTTATATGAGAGTACTGATGTGTTTATCTTGTGACATGCTCCATATGGTGTCTTACATGTAATGAGGCTTTTAAAATAACTTTTGAATATGCAGCCTTATAAAATAGTCTTTCTTGTTGGTAGAATGTCAAGTAAAACAACCACCATTTGAAAAGGCATTTGATAATACCTATCAGAAATGCAAGTGGACATGTTCTCTGACCCAGAAACTTCACTTCTCATATTCGGTCTCTCACAAATAGATGAGCAAGTGTATGGTGGTACATATTCACAGATGCATTATTGTTAATTATGAAAAACAGAGACAACTGGAATGGCCCCCCAAGGGAGAATGTTTACATAAATTCTGATATGCACGTGGTGTGGTACACCATGACACCAAAAGAAAAAAATGTGGTAGAACTGTAGTTCCTTTAACGGAAGGAGTTTTGTGCATTATTGAGTACAAATGGAATTGTAGAACTTTTTGTATGATACCATTTTTGCTTAAACAGCAGGCTAGATTGATATGTGCATCATATATATCAATCATACATATTCATACATACGTACATATACATATGTATGAGTAGTAATGCAGCTTTAAGAGCCTGCAAAGTTGTACACCAAAATATTAACAGCACTTTCCCCTGGAGAGTGGAATTAGGAGGGGGTTGGGTGGAGAGGGGAGTCACTTTCATTTTTAAAGTGTATGCACGTTTCAAAAATAAAAGAGCAATTCATTTTATAATTTAAGAAAAACAAAAGACTGAAATAAACCCCTCTTAATGTCAGATATTAATTTGTTAGCGATTTGTGTGAATGCAACTTAATAGCCACTGACAATCATTTGACGTAAAACAGGCTTTGCATATGCGATAGAAGATTATGGTTCTTTAGGATTTTCTAACAAGCCTTTAGCTCCTTCAGGTTCTCCAGCCAGACTGAAGATGCAGTGGGTGAGATTCCATTTCTGTCAGTGTGACTGTGGTTCCCTCAAATCTCAATCACCTGTGTCTGTGCACTCCAGTAGGCGACTAACTGAGATTGAACAGGTTGCTCCAAAGGGTAGTTAACTCAGATT
This sequence comes from Homo sapiens, assembly GCF_000001405.40. Lineage (NCBI taxonomy): Eukaryota > Metazoa > Chordata > Mammalia > Primates > Hominidae > Homo > Homo sapiens. Next base: position 162,485,714 of record NC_000006.12, on the reverse strand, counting down.
AATGTGAACAGTTGTTGGGGTAAAGACAAGTGTAGTGGGTGTCAGTACAAAGCAGCTGTCTCCTTGGTGAGTTAAACCACGTGTGGCATCCCAGTACCCTGCTACTGCATCAAATTGAGTTACTAGTTGTGGAGAGGAAGATAAATACCAGTGTGCAGGTGGGAGTCAAGTGCTAATTTACTATTTTGAGAAAAACCAATCACATTTATTTTGGCTTTCTGCTGTAACATTTAAGTCTACTTCTGACCTCAAAGGAAATAATTACCTATTTTATAAGTCATTAGTTGTGCTGAGTAGCATTTAAAAAATAGCAGTGTCTCTCATACTACTTTGGTGTTTTCTAAAATAATTGCACAAAGTCACTGTGCCCACATGTTTTAAAAATAAGCTATGCAAACACAATTGTTATCTCTAGCTGAGTTTTAATGCTGTAAGTAAAAAATAATACGTACCATTCCTCTAAAGAATCCTTAGTTGATCATGAGCTTTGAATTGAAGAATATCCCTAAATATCCAATTTTTCTAAGGAATAAAGAAAAATCCTATTACTTTATTAAAGATATTCCAGTGGGTTAACTACAAAAGTGACGAATGAATGCCCTCAACACTTGTGTAAGTACTACAAAACTTCTGAAATTATATAAAATGTATTTTTTATGTTATAGAATTTACATTCACATTAATAATTACTGATGAGATTTGTCTTTGTTTTTCCTGATTATGAAAAGAATATATGCCACAGGCCATAGAAAAACTAGTAAATATGACCACATAAAAATTTAGAGTTCCTCTAGGGAAAATGATATAAACAATGTAAAAGTAAAATTGATGAACTGAAGAAAACCATTTAATGTAAGTGATAAAAGGGCCAATTTTCTTGAATATGCTAACAGCACTTACAAATAATAAGGAACAAAATGCCCAATAGGCAAATGAGCAAACATGATGAACAGATAGTCACAGTGTTATACATCACAATGACCAGGACTCCTAAGAAGCATGCCCCGTCTCACTGCAGCTGAAGAACCGCAAATTAAAAGCACTGTTGATCTCAGTAGGCACGTTTATGGACTCCGATGTACTGTTACTCTCTTGATTCGGAAGGCTAACAAACATCTCTACGTTAATGTGTCCCAAACAGAATTCTTGTTTTTGTCTTCTTACACCTGCTAAGCTGTTTGTAACTCAGTCATACCCATCTCAACAGATGCCAACATTGTTTATCTGGATACTCAAGCCAAAAGTCAGTCCAGCCTGAGTCCCCTTCCCCCGATCCATTATATCTAGTTACAGTATCAACTCCTGTTGGCTGCATCTTTAGCATGTATGCAGGGTCTGTCAGCCCCACGGAGACCCCCTGTTTTGCTACCACCATTCCTGAAGAGGTCTTCCTGCCTTGACACTTATTCCCTAATGAACCGTATTCTTCACCTAACATTTAGAATGATCTTTTTCATCTTCATTAAAATAGAGTCTGCTTACCTTTCAAAACAGGTAATATATTTACATGATTCAAATTTCAAAATTTTCCACTAGGATTTACAGTGGGACATTTCCCACCAACTTCTCTTGCCCAAACAGCCAGTTCCTTTATATTAAGAGGCATCTGATGCTATCGTTGCTTTCTTCTTTTTTAGACATACTTTATGCATAGACAACCATATATATCTTTTTAATACAGATGATCAAATGATAGCATATTTTTGCAATGTTTCATTCAGTGGAAATATCTCTACATCAGTACATATGAGCATCAGTATTTTTCAAGAATGTATGGTATTCCCTTAAATGAATGGAACACAAGGTATTTAACTTAACTTGTCCCCTATTATTGACACTGAGCTGAATTTTTTCAGCTTTAGCTGTTATAAGCAATCTTGCAATTAGTAGTTTTATAGACACATCATCTTACATATGTCTACATATTTCTGTCATGTAAATACCTAAAAGTAGAATTGCTGGATCAGAGGGCTTGTGCCTTTCTAATTTTGATAGAGCTGTCCAACTTGTCCTTCTTGGTAGCCTTACCATTGTAGACTGCCTCCAGCAATCTGTGAGATGGCTTGTTTTTCTTCACCTTTTGGAACATCATGTGTTATCACATATTTAAAATCTTCTTTCCTTTCCCCGTCTCCCTCTCTCCCTCTCTCCCTCCTTCCCTACGTCCCTTCTTTCCTTCCTTCCCCGCCCCCACTGCCGCCACTGCCTCCTTCACAGAGTTGAATCTGTATCCCAGTCTGATGCTTCTCAGCTTCCTACACCTCCCTCCAAATTTTTAAATATATATTTTCTAATTTTAAAAATTTGCATATAGTTAAATTAACTTTTTTGGTGCACAGTTCTATGTGTTTTTACATAGGCATAACTTCTTTTACCTCCACCACACATAAGACACAAAACAATCGCAACTCCCCAAAGAATCCATCCCCGCTTCCTTCACAGGTGTCTCACCCAATAAATTTCTTGCACATGTCATCAGATCTTGATGTCTGTTTCTCAGAGAGGACCCAGACTCGAATATCGTGAGACTGGGTTTTGTGCATATGGCAGATAAATTATCCTTGGGATAGGGGTTCACATTATGTTTGTCTTCTGGTGATGTGACTTTTTACACTTTGAGTAGCATATATTTATGGAGGCTGTAGTAATTATAATGAGGTATAATCATATAGTCATTATAATCATAGTATAATCATAGAGTCATTTCTGGGTCTTAATGTCTTCAAGTCTTACACATCCGTCAAAAGTTGGGCTGTAACAAATAGAGCTAGCTGTCCAACAATGGAATCAGTGCATACCCTCAGGCCGGAGTGTTTCTGCTGGACTGCGTCAGTTTGGTATTAGGTATGATGGATAATAAATTTCCACGTTGGAAGGTAGATTGGACAAGATGATCTCTAAGGATCCTTCCATTAGTAAGCCACACAGATTTTGTGATTTAAAGAGCCTATGCATCTCATTTTAGAGTTGGGTTTTGGAGTAGATATTTATTCTTGCTTGCTTTCTTTTCTCTGCTTTCATTTATCCATTTTACATAGTATACTTGGTTCATGTATTTTTCTTTCGTTGTTTTTAATATGAAGGCTTTAAAAAATTATGGATAACCAATCAACATTAGATGTCACAAATAGTTACTTTTGATTCCAATATTGTGAATATTTCTGTTGCCATTATTGCTGGTTTTGTTTGTTTACGTAGCTTAACCCCTGATGCACTCTCAGTCACACAGTTTTATGAAGATGTAGACTCATGTGTTTTGACATATACATAACTCGTCAGAATAGGTTTCCTGGGTAACCTTGGAGGTTCTTGTATGCCTTCAACTGGAATTTCTTCAAGTGCACTTGCTTGTGTAAAAGATGTATTTATGTGATGATGTATTGGTTGGAATACTGCACAAAGTTAGTTTTTTGAGTAGCAGCTGAACATAAAATAAAAAGTTGTGAAAGTATGAAAAGCCACAGTGTTTTAAATATTTTTGTAGTAAAGTCAGTGCCCTGTATCAAGCATGGAGATCATTGAAAAGGATCTTTAAGGAGCCTGGCTTTTTGGACATAACCTAATTATCCCAGGAGATAAGGTTATCACACCACTTTTCATTATCTGAGTAAACATAGTTATTCTGGGCAGTGAGTGTTGCCATGGGTTTCTATAACTAGAAGTTTAAGCATGCTGGAAGGTAAGACCCAAAGAAGAAAAGGGGCAAAAGCAAATAGGAGTCCACCATGAGACACCAAGCCCCCCAGATTACTCCTTTGGTATTTTTTTCAGTTTGAAATAAATGTTATAATAATTTCAGTCTGAGGATTTTATGTGTGCTAATAAATCTGAATATTTCCAGAAATAATAGGAAAAGCTTATGTTGGCCCATATAAAGGACACAAACACACGCATGTATTTCTTGTTTTGACAGAACATGGTAACTGGATTCATGTTTAATTTATAGTTCTTTGACTTTTAAGGTAGTGCTCTGTCATCAGCCGTCATTTGAAAAAAAAATATTTTAGTTAATCAATGGTATGATCTAAAATGGCTTAGGACTAATAGATTAGTGGAGCTGCACTCTTCATTTTATGAAAAAATGTTTCTGGCACTAATGGCACGCAGCAGCAAATAATGTTCCCTTTTGCATCCCAGTGAGATGCCAAATATCATGCTGGTTAATTTTAATACAAAATGCTCAACTCTTAAGAGATAGCATCTGCCTGCCCTTGAATTTCCACTTAATGGAAACATTATACGTTAACAAAAAAACTGCTTTTTTTTCCCCCACCAGTAGTGGTAGAATCTTAGAAAGTGAGTTAACTTTAAGAGAAACCTTAAAATGTATCAGCAACCAGTTTCAGAATAATTAGCTAATAGTATTTACAGATTTTGAAGAGACTTAAGTTTACCTCTCCATGGACATGAGGATTCTGCAGATAAGAATTTGTGGTCTCGTTATAATTTGGTATCCTGTTTGCTATTATAAATCTGAAGCTGGCTAGATCAATAGGGAATGGGTTATTTTTGAAAGCTTCACTTTTCCATATAGCTGACTACTTAATTCTTTATATGAGAACATTAATTCTAGTAGAATGAAAATCAGTTTAGGCCAGGCGCAGTGGCTCATGCCTGTAATCCCAGCACTTTGAGAGGCTGAGGTAGGCAGATCACTTGAGGTCAGGAGTTTGGGACAAGCTGGCCAACATGGCAAAACTCTGTCTTTACTAAAAATACACACACACACACACACACAAAAATTAGCTGGGCTTGGTGGTGCACACCTGTAGTGCCAGGTACTCAGGAGGCTGAGGCGGGAGAATCACTTGAACCCAGGAGGCGGAGGGTGCAGTGAGGTGAGATCGTGCCACTGCGCTCCAGGCTGGGTGACAGAGCAAGACTCTGTCTTAAAAAAAAAGAGAATCAGTTAAAATACACTGTCTCCTTCCATACTATCTAACAAAAGGGTAATGATTGGGTTTGACTTCTTCTTTATGACTTGGTGGCCTCATCATTTATGGGTTTTGGTTTTTATGATTTGCTAGAGTCAGGGAAGCCCTTGAAGATGGGGTGGGCAGTGTCCTAGGCTGTTTTTCCCCTCGCTAACACAGCAGCAGTCCCCGTCCGCTGGTCTCTGGTGGGCTTCACCAGCAGCACTCGGTCCTCCTGGTCATTGTTTGGGTGACTGCTTTTCAGTCATGTCAACTGGCAAATCCATGGCACAAAGAAGGAGTCTTTTTCCCATGTAAGTTTTTCTCCTTCAGAAATAGTTTCTACTTACTTCCATGTCATCTTCTTCCTCTCCTCCCTATTTTTGGTCGTCAGTAATTGTCCGTATCATTCAAATACAGTAAAAAAATGTATACAGCCATGTGCCCCATGACATTTCAGTTAGTGACAGACCACATCTGCAAGGGTGGTCCCATAAGATTGTCATGGAGCTGAAAAGCTCCTATAGCCTAGTGATGTCTTCGCCATGGTAACATCCTAGTACAATGCGTTCCTCGTGTGCGTGGTGACCCTGGGGTCAATGAGCCTACTACGATACCAATTGTGTAAAAGTCCAGCACATACAATTATGTATAGTACGTGATTAGAAAAATGACCATATTACTGGTTTGTGTATTTATAGTTATTTTATAGAACTTATACTATTTTTTTTTTTTTTGAGACAAAATCTTGCTCTCTCACCCAGGCTGGAGTGCAGTGGCACAATCTTGGCCCACTGCAACCTCCACCTCCCGGGTTTAAGCGATTGTCCTGCCTCAGCCTCCCAAGTAGCTGAGATTACAGGCATGCGCCACCACGCCCAGCGAATTTTTGTATTTTCAGTAGAGACGAGGTTTCACTATGTTGGCCAGGATGGTCTCAATCTCTTGACCTCGTGATCTGCCTGCCTCGACCTCCCAAAGTGCTGGATTACAGGCGTGAGCCACTGCGCCTGGCTCCTACTAATTATTTTTGAGAAAAAAAAACAGATAACTGTAAAACAGCCTCAGGCAGGTCCTTCAGCAGGTGTCCAAAAGAAGGCATTGTGATCACAGGAGATGACAGCTCTATGTTTGTTATTGTCCCTGAAGACCCTCCAGTGGGACCAGATGTGAGTGGAGGTGGGAGACAGTGATATTGATGATCTTGACCCTCTCTAAGCCCAGGCTACTGTGTGTTTATGTCTTGCTTTTTAACAAAAATGTTTTAAAGATAGGCCAGGCATGGTGGCTCAAGCCTGTTATCCCAGCAGTTTGGGAGGCTTAGGTGGGCAAATCACCTGAGATACGGAGTTCAAGACCAGCCTGGCCAACATGGTGAAACCCCATCTCTACTAAAAATACAAAAAAAATTAGCTGGGGATGTTGGCATGCGCCTGTAATCCCAGCTACTCAGGAGACTGAGGCAGGAGAATCTCCTGAACCTGGGATACAGAGGTTTCAGTGAGCCAAGATCACACCACCGCACTCCAACCCGGGCAACAGAGCATGACACCGTCTCAAAAAAAAAGAAAAAAGTTTTAAAGGTTGTTTTTTTTTTTAAGGTGGAAAACAGCATATAGAGTAAGGATATGAAGAAGGAATACTTTTGTGTAGCTGTGCAATACATTTGTGTGTTAAACCGGTATTATTAAAAGAGTCAAAAAGTTAAAAAGTTTATAAAGTAAAAAAAGTTACAGTAAGCTAAAGTTAATTTATCACAGAGGAAAGGAAATGTTTTTTTCTAACTTTAGCGTAGCCTGAGTGTGCAGTGTTGGTGAAGTCTGTGGTAATGGACAGTCATGTCCTAGGTCTTCCCATTCACTCGCCACTCGCTCCCTGATCACCCAGAGCAACTTCCAGTTCTGCAAACTCCATGTTTCCTAGACGAGTGTCCCATTTTTTACCTTTTATACTGTGTTTTTACTTTACTTTTTTGTGTTTATATATACAAATGTTTCTTGTTGTGTTACAGTTGCCTAAGGCATTCAGTAAACATGTTGTGCCGGTTTGTAGCCAAGAGCAGCAGGCTGCCCCATAGAGCCTAGGTGTGGAGTCGCCTGTACCATCTGGGTTTATGTAAGTCCCTTCCGTGGTGTTCCCAAAACAAAATCCCCTAACAACGCAATTCTTAAAATGTGTCCTCGTTGTTCAGTGACCCATGACTGTACTTATCTCTTGGTTTCACGGTTGGTTACTCAGGAGGTCACAGACACCTGCTTATTAGAATGCTCTTGCTCTTCTCTCTGTCTCTCCAAGCCTAGATTGTTCACTGGCTGTGCAGGAGAGAGAGGCTCCTCACCATTGCAAGCTCTGTGTTAGATGTTTTGTGAAGGGTTTAGTTCAAGGTCTTCCTGTGCGTTTAATGAACAGACATGTGACTTCTGTGGACTTGTTGTTCTCCCTAGTGTTTAAGCGGAGTTTCAGCCACAACAACATTAGAAATCACGTCTTTGATGTTTACAGCCAGAGTCACTTTCAACAGTGATAACTGTACTTACTCTTTGAAGAACTCTGAGCCGCAGCCTGAATCAGGGAGGTTATATACTAGGCCAGAAAGAGAATATCCAATTACAGGTCAGTATGAAACCTCTTTTCTCAGAGTAAGCTCTACAGTTGTTCATAAAATTAAACAAATACATGTGAATGTCTCCTATATGGGAGACTGTGGTAGGTACTAGGGGAAGAAGATCTCACCGTGGATAACCATGTTCGCCCTGTGCTCTAGGACTCTGCGCTCTAGGACCCTGTGCTCTAGGACCCTGCGCTTTAGGACCCTGCACTCTGGGACTCTGCACTGTACTGAGAAAAACAGTTGCAGAAGCCGGGAAACAGGATGAGGCTGACAAACAGTAAAGGATCCTAGTGTTGCCAAACAACAGCAAGAGATAGAGCAGGATTTGTAAGACGGGTATAATTTGAATGGACCTTCCACAAGGTTAGCTTCCTGAATAGTTAGAGATGCTGTAGGGGAAAGGTTATCCCAGAGAACATGCAGTTATGCAGGAGAATATGAAGCATGACCTAGAAACAAGCTCCCTGTGGCTGGTGTTTGTGAAGTAGGAGAGGCCGCAGCAGAGAGGAGGAGGATGAGAAAAGAGTGGATACTGAAAGGGGAAAGTATAGCAAGAAATAGGTGGAAAAAGGGAATCGTAAAGGACTGTGAACACCTGAAGACTTTGCATCTTGTTCTCAATGAAGGGAGTCACCAAAGATGGTTTTGAATGAAAGGACTGGCAAAATGACCCTGTGTAGCAACTGCATAACTCGACTCTTATAAAGCCAGTAGTTCTGGACATATTCTGTTGATATAAGAGGAGTATAGATGCTGTCAAAAATGCCAATGGAAACTCGTGCATCAGTGTGTAAGTCCCACGCGTGGAAGTTCTAGGAGGTAACATTCATCAGCGAATTTATTTTTTGACTGCCTGTAGTATCACTGTGAGCAAGAACAGCTGGCCTATACCTGCTTTATTTGAAACCTGAGAGATGATAATTTCCTGGTACCTACCAGGATAGAAGTTGGTGGGCAATGATGAAACACCTTTGAGCATTGTAAAAATTTTAAGATAGATTGTGTGATTTCAGGAAAATAGACACCAAAATTTTCTCTGGTGTATATTCTGGCTTTATTTCAATTTCATTTTTCTTAACTCCCTCAAAGAGTCAAGTGTATTTGCTCAAAAACTGACCTCTTCATTGAGCACAATACTGGAAGTAGAGTAACCATCCAGCTTCAGTCAGAGTTGCTGCACTTCAGGTCCCAGGCTAGACTTCAGCTTAGGCAAGAGTCAGAGTTTTACAGCCAGACACCACAGGCAGGATTTCAGAACCAGTTGGCCTTACTCCTCAGCTCCTCCATTTATTGCTGTATATTCTGGGGCCAATTAAAGACTCTCTCTCCCTTCCCTTTGCTTATGTACACGATGAGGAGAACTCTAGGTGTTCAGGCTTCTTGTGGGTGGTTAACAATTCGAAAGCACCTGGCATGCACCTCCACATGAATGATGACGATAGAATCGTAATTATTATTATCAGTGTTACTCTTGTGGCTGGGGTATCACGTTTGCTGATCTTCTCTTGTTCATGAGGTTGAACCAGGCAAGACCGAGCTTGCACATCATTCTGACCCATTGGGCTTCCCTGTGCTCGTCCTTTCCTCATGCTGTGCTGCCTGTTTTCTTTTCCACAGTTATCATTACCTATTGTTTATTTCTGCCCCTTTGTTTCACTTAAGAAAGCCTATACAAACGGGATTGAGAAGATTTACTAAACTTTTGTATGAATTTACACAGTTTATGAGTCTGCAGCATGACTGTTTACCACTTTAAAGAAATCTTGAGACTAAAAATTTTACATATACACAGTTGTGAACCCTACCCTCAAAAAGAGTGGGCTGGGCGCGGTGGCTCACACCTGTAATCCCAGCACTTTGGGAGGCCGAGGCGGGTGGATCACCTGAGGTCGGGAGTTTGAGATCAGCCTGACCAACATGGAGAAACCCCGTATCTACTAAAAATACATAAATAAATAAATAAAAATAAGTAGGGCGTGGTGGCACATGCCTGTAATCCCAGCTACTCGGGAGGCTGAGGCAGGAGAATCGTTTGAAACCGAGAGGCGGAGGTTGCAGTGAGCTGAGATCGTGCCATTGCACTCCAACCTGGGAAACAAGAGTGAAACTCCGTCTCAAAAAAAAAAAAAAAAAGAGTGGTGTTAGGCCAGGTGCGGTGGCTCACGCCTGTAATCCCAGCACTTTGGGAGGCCAAGGCAGGCGGCTCACGAGGTGAGAACAAGACCATCCTGTCCAACATGGTGAAACCCTGTCTCTACTAAAAATACAAAAATTAGCTGGGCATGGTGGTGTGCGCCTGTAATCCCAGCTACTTGGGAGGCTGAGGCAGGAGAATCACTTGAGCCCGGGAGGCGGAGGTTGCAGTGAGCTGAGATTGCGCCACTGCAGTGAGCTGAGATTGCGACAAAGCGAGACTCCGTCTCAAAATACATAAATAGATAAATAGTGCTGTTTTGTACTTCCAGAGGCGTAAATAAATAAATAGTGGTGTTTTGTACTTCCGGAGGCATGACGCAGCTAGCCGCATTGCACACGCAGCCCTGTGCTTGTGTCTCTTGATTTGCACACGTACACTCACATGCACACTCATGCAAACACACACACACTCATGCACACACACACTCACATGCATACACATGCACACACATGCATACATGCATGTACCTGCGCGGTTCTTACGTCTCTATCTTCTCACTGCATTTTTTGTCTTCTCCAGTAACAACATGTCTGCTGTTTATTTGTTCCTCCTCCAAGTTTCTCTTTCTTTTCTCTTCCTCTGTTATTTCTCTCGTTCTTTCCAAGATTGGAACTATTAGGCTGGACTTGGAAGTGAAAATCCTTTTCTCTTGTGGCTTTTGGCCCACAACACTTGACGTTGAATAATTCTTAGATGTCCTTATACCCAATAAGCCCTCAATAAATAATGAATGGGTGCCTTAGCCTTGTTGACCAAGATCATTTGACTGTGCCTTTTCATAGGCTGTTTTTTGGTTAATAGTGAGAAGCATTTTGTTTTTTTGAATAATTTTTCTTGCCTGCTCTCAGGGCGTATAGACTGAAAGCTATTCATCACATAATCATTTTTAATATTGCTGATAAAAAGTGGCAAATTCTATGTGAAGCATATCAGAAGGTAAATATGATTCCTTGCCTTAAGTTTACTTATGTCTGGAGGGGAAAATAAACAATTCTCAGAAGAATTTTTATAATTAAAAAATCGATTTCATTTTGAATTTTATTTTGACATTTGTAGAAATAATGACAGTGTCAGCATGTTTTTGTCTCTTCATCTTTTTCCTTCATTCCTTTTGCTACATCGGACTTCTGGTATCAGGCCTGCCTATACCCCAAAGCCTAGGTCCAGACCAGCACAGGAAATAGGCTATTTTCAGTAGCCTTATCTCTGCTTTGGTTTCTGATCACTTGATATTCAGAGTCTCTTATCTACAGATCACAAGATCATCATCTCCCATCGAAACCTGTTCAAAGAATCTAGCAAATCTTTGAATCTTGTAATATGGCCTTCCAAGTAAATTGTTTTATGTTTGCCCTTAAAGTTTTCTTTGAACATAGCTGTTATTAATACTACTTTCAACATTTACATTTAATAGAATATTTTTAAACATGGGATTTATTGGCAATAATTTTAATACCTTTTACAACAACTTTCCTGTGATTTCCTGGGAAACCATAAATTTATACTGTAGGCTTGAATAGATCCATTTTTAACAATTGACATGGGATTTGGTGGGTTTATGCTAAAAATTAAGTAACCTAACAAAGAAGTATAGTGATTTCTAAAAAAAAGCATTCAAATATATTTTCACAATTTAGTCATTCAACATGTGCAGGAGAGAATTAAATACATGTAGATTACTCTTCCTGACAGATTCTAGAAGTTGGGTATTTGCAATGTCCCAGTTGTATTATTGGAAAAGAAGTAAGATGTATTATGCTGGCGTATCTTCCCTTTGTCGTTCTTAACATTAGTTTAACGTGGATATTCTGCCTATGGTACTATGTTATGTAAATATTTCTGTACTTTGTTCTCTCAGATAATAAGTCATTTGATTAATATTGTTCCAGCTTCATATAAGTGGCAAAGGGCGTTTCTGTTACTAGTAAAACAAATCAGCTATCCTGGAATCACCCACATTACCTTTAATTACATTCTAATTAAATTTAAATTTGCTTTATTATGGTAATGGATGTTGCACCGGAAAGCTGGTGGGAAATCAGTTATTTTTACCCCATCATTGTAAAAGAAAGGCTAACCTACATCTATAATTATGGTGACATTTTTAATAGATGAATTCATATTTGATGTTTCAAGAGTAAAGAGTCTAGGTAATCTAGTAGTCTGAGAGTGCAAACTGTGCTCTTTCCACACTTGCCATCAGTTTATGGTTTTCAGCTTGGTTCTAGAATTGTCTGCCAATATAGTAGCCGTTAGCCACATATGGACAGTCCCAACTGAGTTGTGCTGTAATTACAAAACATACACCCAATTTCAAAAACTTGGTACAAAAAAAGAATGACCACTATCTTATTAATACCTCCTATATTGATTATTTGTTGAAATCATAATATTTTGCATCTACATAAAATATTAAAATTATATCTGCATATTTTTACTTTTTTATCATGGCCACCAGAAAATTTAAAATTTTATATGTGGCCCACATCGGTGGCTTTACTAGTCCTTCTATTGGGCAGCACTGTTCTAGAAACTATGTTATAATAGGGAGCTTGATGTTGGCAAACATAGGGAAATGCATTTGGACAAAACTGATTCAAAGTGTGTTCACCAGATCACACAACTTAGTGTCATTAAGTCCTCTTCTCTGAAGCCAGTAGTTTTTCCTAATGCCTTTACCTAAAATACCAGTGAAGAAGGAGACATCATTTGTTTGCAAACAGAAATAAAACTACTTTCCCATCTTTGCTTCACATCATGGTGCTTCCATACTTGAAATATCCAGTTGTGGTAAGCATCCTAGCAAAGGGAAAGGCTTAAAATGACTTCAGAGTAGATAACATGACCAAGGCATTAGTATTTTATGAGGATACACTTGTACAAGTTAGGACTTCCTGGGTTGGAAAAAATAAAATTAAGCAACTATGAAGGGGAGAGAATAGGTTTAACCATGTTTTCTTTGAAGGACCTGAGTAGGAAAGACTGATATAAAAATAAGTATGAGAATATTTTCCTTAATTGAATAACCATGGCCAAGTCACCAAATTCCAAAACACCACAACTATAGGTTTCTGGAGTAGCTGGCTATAATTTTCAGGCCACACACACATTTCCAGTATGTTGAATTCTACCTTGTTCTGAACAGCTTCGGAAATATTTGTTCAACTTCTACTAAGATATATATATATAAAATAAAAGTTTGGGGCCGGGCGCGGTGGCTCACACCTGTAATCCCAGCACTTTGGGAGGCCAAGGCGGGTGGATCATGAGGTCAGGAGATCGAGACCATCCTGGCTAACAAGGTGAAACCCCGTCTCTACTAAAAATACAAAAAAAAAATTAGCCGGGCGTGGTGGCGGGCGCCTGTAGTCCCAGCTACTCGGGAGGCTGAGGCAGGAGAATGGCGTGAACCCGGGAAGCGGAGCTTGCAGTGAGCCGAGATTGCGCCACTGCAGTCCGCAGTCTGGCCTGGGCGACAGAGCGAGACTCCGTCTCAAAAAATAAAATAAAATAAAATAAAATAAAATAAAATAAAAGTTAGAGTTTGGACTGCATGTTCTCACTCATAGGTGGGAATTGAACAATGAGAACACTTGGACACAGAGTGGGGAACATCACACCTGTCTTGGGGTGGGGGGTGGGGGGAGGGGTAGCATTAGGAGATATACCTAATGTAAATGATGAGTTAATGGGGGCAGCACACCCACATGGCACATGTATACATATGTAACAAACCTGCATGTTGTGCCCATGTACCCTAGAACTTAAAGTATATAAAAAAAAAGTTTGAGTTTGGAATGTCTTCCTCTATAATGTGGCAGAGGTTAAAGTTACAAACAAGTTTTAGGTGTATTTAGATCAATAAGGATTCATTAAGTGTATCTTCCTAGAGTTTTCCTGTTATTATGTAGTCATTCCATCCACAAAGCGTTCCCCAGTGTCATTGACTTGATGTGCATCAATCAATCTGACTGAATGTCAGGAAAGTATTTATTCTCAATGTTCTTATGGACCAGGTGCCCAGCAAGGATGCTTATTAAGTGTCATATGATGATTGCACTGTTAGATCTTCTTCAATCGGAGGACAGACCAAAAAGATGGCTGCAATTCCAATTAGGGGACTTTAAAAATCAATTCCAAAAAGACTAGTGTTCTAATAATTTTAGTACTAGAATAAAATGAAAAGCTACAAAAGTACTACCAGATTTGGGATAACATATGTCTAAATCTGTATTAGTACATATGCATAGATTATTCTGTGAAAGTAACAGAAGTAGATACATCCTTTAGTTTTTGCACTTCTGTATAATTTATGAATTCTAATAATGAACACTTATAATGTTTACTGTGGAAAGTTTTAATGTGTAAAAACTCAGAAAACATATCTAATAGTTTAGTAAATGGCAAAATATATTTTATTAATAATTGCAGTATAAGCAATTAATTGTAAATTGTTTTGCAGTGGTGAGGAGTGGAAGCCACAGGTTAGAAAGGAAAGGAGAACATATAGCGGGAATAAAGGCAAAAGGTCTACTGCAGTTATTGTAACAAATGGCTCTATCTATGATAACTTCCAGCTTAAAAATAAAGTGTGGAGGCGAGGTACAGTGGCTCACGCCTGTAATCCCAGCACTTTGGAAGGCTGAGGCAGGTGAATCACCTGAGGTCAGGAGTTCGAGACCAGCCTGGCCAACATGGTGAAAACCCATCTCTACTAAAAATACAAAAATTAGCCGGGAGCGGTGGCAGGTGACTGTAATCCCAGCTACTCAGGAGGCTGAGGCAGGAGAATCGCTTGAACCCGGGAGGTGGATGTTGCGGTGAGCCAAGATTGTGCCACTGCACTCCAGCCTGGGTGACAAGCAAAACTCTGTCAATAAATAAATAAATAAATAAAAATGAAAATAAATAAATAAATAAAAAATAGAGTGTGGGCTGGGCGTGGTGGGTCATGCCTGTAATCCCAGCACTTTGGGTAGCCGAGGCTGGCCGATCACCTAAGGTCAGGAGTTTGAGACCATTCTGGCCAACATGGTGAAACCGCCCCACCCCATCTCTACTAAAAATACAGAAATTAGGCATGGTGGCGCACACCTGTAATACCAGTTACTCAGGAGACTGAGGCAGGAGAATGACTTGAAACTGGGAGCTGGAGTTTGCAGTGAGCCGAGATTGCACCACTGCATTCCAGCCTGGGCCACAGAATGAGACTCCATCTCAAAAAAACAAATAAATAAAATTTAAAAATAAATAAACAAAATTAAAGTGTGAATGCCTCAGGTGTAGCTTTGCCTCAAACTAGCACCAAGTATCCTCTCAAACCCAAAGATTGGTGTTTTATGCTTGTGTTTCATTTTGTCCCAAACCATCTAGAATGTATGCTTCACAAGCATACTTTTTTTTGAGACAGAGTTTCGCAGTGTTGCCTAGGCTGGAGTGCAGTAATGCAATCTTGGCTCACTGCAACCTCCGCCTCCCGGGTTCAAGCGATTCTCCTGCCTCAGCTTCCCAAGTAGCGCCTGCCACCACGCCTGGCTAATTGTTGTACTAGTAGTGGAGGCGGGGTTTCACTGTGTTGGCCAGGCTGGTCTTGAACTCCTGACCTCGTGATCTGCCTGCCTCAGCCTCCCAAAATGCTGGGATTACTTTGCCTAAGTTAGCTGCTGTGTCCACGGTGCCTAAAACAGCGCCTAGCCATAGCAAGCATTGGTTGAGTGAATGAAAATGTATACTTCCTTATTTTTTAGTTCCCTTTTCATTATATCATAAAATGTCAAGGACATAGGGTCTAGAAATCTGCTGTCTATGCAGCGTTTAAGTCCTGAGTCTGATGTCTTTGTCCAGAGGATGTCCCAGTGGCCGTGGGAGACCTGTCATTGATAGAGAGCTGACTTCCTCACGAGATGCTTCACTTTCGCAGGACAGCACTGATAGTCAGGCCTTTTTATGGTGAATCAAAATCTGTCCTCATGTAGTTTCCTAGTCCTGTGCCCTAGGATCGTGTAAAACAGGTTTACTATTTCTTCTGCATACCTGCTCTTTGAATACTTATGGACAGTTAGCTCCCTCCTTCTCTACCATTCACCCACACTTTCTTTTTTTAAATTTTTTATTTCCATAGGTTTTTGGGGAACAGGTGATATTTGGCTACATGTGTAAGTTCTTTAGTAGCGATTTGTGAGATTTTGGTGAACCCATCATCCAAGCAGTATACACTGAACCCAATTTGTAGTCTTTTATCCCTCACCCCCTTCCCATCCTTTCCTGTTGAGTCCCCAGAGTCCACTGTGTCATTCTTAGGCCTTTGCATCTTCATGGCTTAGCTCCCACTTATGAGTGAGAACATACGATATTTGGTTTGCCATTCCTGAGTTACTTCACTTAGAAGAATCATCTCCATTCCCATCCAGGTTGCTGCAAATGCCATTAATTCATTCCTTTTAATGGCTGAGTAGTATGTGTATGTGTGTGTGTGTGTGTGTGTATACACACACACACACATACCACAGTTTCTTGATCCACTCATTGATTGATGGGCATTTGGGCTGGTTCCGCATTTTTGCAACCTGGAACTGTGCTGCTATAAACATGCATCTGCAAGTACCTTTTTGTAGAATGACTTCCTCTGTCACCCACCCCCCCCTGCAACCCCCCCACTTTCTTAACATTCCACAAATTCTTCATTAGTGTCAGTGTTTTAGCAACACCATTGGCTGTTGCAGCAAGGATCCTCGTGTCCATCTCGACCGCCTCCTCTGAACTTTTCTTATAGTGTGGTGCGTGCCTTCAAACACAGTAGTCTTAAGTGTGGTCTGAGCACAGGCTGATTACTTCCTTGTAAATACACCAGAAGGTGAAACTAGTTTCTGTGATCACTATATCACAATAGATTTTTATAGAGTACTGTAAATTAAAATCCCTAAGGAATGTTTATGAGTGGATACATTCCATATTTCCCCCATTTTGTAAATATGTAGTTGGTATTTTGGATTCATTGGTAGGACCTCATATCTGCACTAAATTTAATTTAAAGAATTCATTCCAGCCTTTGAGATACCTATCATCTCTTGGATCCTGATTTATTATTTCTTCTGTTTTTTCCCCTAAAATTCTCATATGATTTTGATAGAAGTACATTCTGTATATATCCATCCAATATATTAATTTAAAAATAATGTCAATGGTACAGGGCAGAGATCTGAAATGTTTTACGGGAAGACTTATGCACCCTTCTAGGTAAGAGACCACACTTAATTATTTTATTACTCTAGCCTCAAGCTCAGTACTTGGCTGGCCGGAGCTGCTCAAGAAATATTTGCTGCATTGAAAGAGCTGTTGAACATGCTTAAGCTGTCTTCATCTAACCACTCTCTAGTACCAAACCCATCAGCTGGGCTACCATCCAATCTGCATTCCTGCATGTTAAAGACAAGATATAATGAGAAACTTTGCCAAATGCCTTGGTGAAATGTGTGTGTCCTATATTTATGGGATTACCGAACAGTTTAGAAATGATATCCTCTGTTCTGTGCTTGCAAGCCAAATTGCCATATGCTCTTTCCAGCACTGGACAGACACTGAGTAAATGTCAATCAAATGAATTCATTTTTCTCTCAGTCCAGTTATTATATGCAAATATTAATGAACAAAGATCTTTCTGGGTGCCACTCAGGATACAATAAAAGATTTCAGTTTTCTCATTCACTTCAACATTTGTAGCATGTCTCTTCTGTGCCAGGCATTCTAATTAGTGAGACGAGGGATGCCACCCAAGTGAGGGAGAATGTTCTATTTATTGATTCGGTTGTTATATATGGAGCAATTTCCATGTTCCACGTATTTTATTAGTCCCTGTGAATATACAGAGGCAAAGTCCCTGTCCTGTCGGGGCTTACATTTAACAAAGAGTAAGTTAACAAAGTGGTGATAAGAACCACGGTAGCAGTAAACAAGGTGATGAGAGAGTAGTTAGGGAGGCTGCTTAATTAGGGTGGTCACAGGAAGACCTGTGCAGCTGGCATTTGAGATACTCTCTAGAGGCTGTGAATGAGTCATGGAAAGATAGGAGGCAAGAGTGCTCCAGGCAAAGGGAACAACAAGTACCAAGGTGTAAAATCCAGCAAGGGGTTGGCTTCTTCCAGACACAGCATAGCGGGAGCTCGGTGGGCGGCGTAGCGGGAGCGTGACAGGGGGTTGAGGCTGGAGGACAAGTGGGAGCCAGGCCGTGCAGCCCTGTAGGCTGCAGTAAGGAGTGTAGATTTTATCCTGTGAACAATAGAAGGCCATTGAGGCCTTTAAAGTAGGAAGTGACGTGAGTTTTTTCTTGTGTCAAGGGATTCCTCTGACTGCCTTTGGGAGTCCTGTTCTGAGAGTATTGCTCTGATTCAAAAGACAGATAATGGTCACGACAATGCAGATGGAGAGAGGTAGAGAAATCTAATAAATATTTTGGAGATAGAACCAAAGGCTCAATGATAGGGATAAAGGGATACACTGATGACGATCGCTAAATTTTTATCATGAGCTATTCATTCATGGTGCTGTTTCCTCATTCAGTGGAGGCTGGATGAGGAGCGGGTGGAGTGGGGGCAGTCACTGATGTTAAGTAATTTAGGAGAGCGCATGATAAGTGCTTGAATGAATACCTCCCATACTTCATCCATGTGGTATACTACACATTCATTCTTATTTATTGAGCAGCTAGTATGTGCCAGACATTGGGGATAGAGTAGTGAACAAAACGAATAAATCTTGATTTTCATGATGAATTGTGTTTGATATTGATGAAAGCTGTGGAGAAAAAGGAAGAAGGGAAAAAGGTTAGGGTGTGCCGAGTGAAAGGATTGATTACGTGTGATTTTTAAACAGCACTGTTGAGAGGCCTTCCATAAGAAGTCAACATTTTAGCAAAGACTCATAATACTAATAAATAAACGTAATAATAGAATCCAGGGAATCATAATAGTTGGGCTCAGTGTATTTTTCCTAACCAGATTTGTTAATTTTTTCGACCTATTTTTCTTTTAGAAGTTGGGGATAAAACTGGGAGATGACTTACCAGCTGCTTATTTATTGAAACGAGGTAACCAGTGTATATAATATATCCATAAACGTGCTCTTAGTTACCTTACTTAGCAGTGATGAATTACCCAAATCCACCTAGCCTTTAATAAATGGGTAGTGATTAAAAGAAAAAAAAAAGGAAAACAAAGAGCATAGTGGTATCTGTTTTATTCTTCAGTAGAAACAGATGCAACAATGGCACATTAAAAAAAAAGCAAAAGTGAAATGGATGTGGTGGCTCATGCCTGTAATTCCAGCACTTTGGGAGACCGATGCAGGAGGATCCTTTGAGCACAGGCATATGAGACCAGCCTGGGCAACATAGTGAGACTCCTGTCTCTAAAAAAAAAACAAGAATAAAAAAAATTGCCCTGTGTAGTGGCACATGCCTATTGTCCTGCTTACTCTTGAGGGTGAGGTGGGAGGATTACTTGAGCCTGGGAGGTCAAGGCTGCAGTGAGCCATGATGGCAACACTGCACTTCAGCCTGGGTGACAGAGCGATACCCTGCCCCACCTCCCTCCAAAAACAAGACTTGTCAGCATCTATTCAAAGTTAATAATATAATGCCTGGGAATAGATTAATATTAAATGTTAGCACACAAAGCCTATTCTGCAAATGATTGCTTCTGCCTCCTGAAGACAAGGCCAAGTACATTTCACTCCATAACACAGGTTGTAAGGAAAAAAAGAAAGGCAATGGAAAGTGTTATTTTCTTGAAGTAATTTATCACAGCTATTGCCTCCTCAATACATGCATAAACTTCCACATCATCAAAAAAGGTAGTAGCTGTTTCTGCAATCAATCCAGAAATAATAAGCTGGGCATGTTTCTTTATTAACTTCTGTTATAAACATAAAAATATATATCTGCAAGTATGTCAAGGAAAGAAAAATATTGGTGGTTCTGATATTTTCTTTCAACACTTTGTTATTTGGAGTTGTCGTCTTAAGAAATAACATGATAAAATATTGATATACAAAAATACATTAAGATATATTAGTCACCATATATTCAAGGATTGCAGATAGCATGAGAGTGTGAGATGTTCTTGAGATAACTTTGTTAAATTCTTAAATATCACAATATACCCTCCTGAATTTAATTTTAGAACATTTACAGGGGCAACTGAAACCTATCAAAGAATTTAGCCAGGATTATATAATTATCATATAATATATTTTCTAAATGTCCATGTCACTGTGTGTAGATCAAATCAGCATTCAGTTTCTTCCCTGCCATTGTCACTTGACATTATTTCTATAATTAAACTAACATTAACACTTCCTATTCTTTCTTGAAATTGCTAAAGAAATTACATTTGGCTAAGTAATACCTCCAGAAAAGAATTATTTTGCATTTTGATGTCTTTGGAACAGCTAGATCATTTGTTTAATCTGCTTCTTCTGACATCCTATTAGAATTTCATTTCTTTGATCAACATTTTCACTGACACTATTTATGTCTAACATGAAAACACCACAGTATATTGCAGCTTGAAAAATAGTGTTCTCTCTATTAAGTGTTGTGCATCTCTCATAAGAAGAGAAAATTTGGTAAAGCTGAAAGTTTATTCTGTAGGTGGCCACAAACTGAGGTTCTAAAATTGAAGGAAAATAAAGGGTAATATTATAAACAGCAACAAAAGTCAGATGTTAAATATAGTGGTGTAATATAAGAACTAGTTGAGAGATAAGCTAACCGCCTTCCTAGAGTTGCATGCAAGCTTGGACAGAGTTGATTTCACCACTTCACTGGTTTTTCTTTAAAATGTTCATAGAAGTGATGCTTGGTAAGACTGGTTAATTGGGAACGAGCTTAAATGTTGACATGATTGTTGAAGTTTTCATAAGCTCAGGGAGTTTTAGGTAAACATTCTGTCTGCTGGGTGAGGTGTTGCAGAATAGGGATATGTTACATAGATGCTTGCCCTGAGCACATCACAGCCATGAGATCGCCATGGCTGTTGATTTTCTTAAAGTGTTTTTAGTGGAGGAGCAAATGCATTAATATTTATTAAGAAGGAGGAGGGGGGGCTCTTAAAACTTGTATTTATACACAAATTTCTTTCTTTTTCTTTTTTTCTTCTTCTTTTTTTTTTGAGACGGAATCTCACTCTGTTGCCCAGGCTGGAGTGCAGTGGCGCGATCTCGGCTCACTGCAAGCTCCGCCTTCTGGGTTCACGCCATTCTCCTGCCTCAGCCTCCTGAATAGCTGGGACTACAGGCGCCCGCCACCACGCCTGGCTAATTTTTTTTTTTTTTTTTTTTGTATTTTTAGTAGAGATGGGTTATCACTGTGTTAGCCAGGATGGTCTTGATCTCCTGACCTCGTGATCCACACGCCTCGGCCTCCCAAAGTGCTAGGATTACAGGCATGAGCCACTGCGCCCGGCCATTTGTAGACAAATTTCTAATGAAATAGAATGTGACTTTGAAAGTTTGCTCCATTACATATTAGTGCTATATTTTAGGAAAACTTTAGAATTTTTAAAATCAAAGTTCAATTTTTCCTTAAGAAAATAAAAGTTATCATAAATGATTAAAACCTTAGAAAAGTGAATGAAATCTTTATCACTTAATTACAGGGCAGTGGCAAAGTTCATTTATTTAATTTTCATATGTTGACATCTATTTTTGTGTAATAGCAGATCCCTGATTCCCATTTATAGAGATATAGTCAATTTTGATTAAAGAAAGACCTAAGTGTAAAAAAAATAGTAATCGCCTTTTAATCAGCATCTGCAAATTTAAGTGAAAAAGTAAACAATGATTGATTTCTTCTAAGCTGGCATATAAGGCATCAAGAATTGTTAGAATTTTTTGTTGAAAGTACTTGTTATGTATAAGCATTTACAAAGCTTAAACGTCACCTCATGATCTCATCTCAAAAAAAGGTCAGGGCAGTCTTTGATTAAAATAAAATAAAGACTGGTATTTTGATTTCAGTTTAAGCTTTATTTTTATCTTTAAAATGTGCTTATTAAGTCCCCAAAAACAACAACAAAATAACAGCTTCAGAGAGTAAGAATGTAATGCCTAAGTCAAGGAAATGATAGACAGTGTCAGGAACTGTGAAGTATCTGAGACTTTATCCCTCTTGCAGGCTGCTCACAGTTTCATGGATGCCAATCTTGAACTCGAGATGCCTTTGTGAGAAATCATATACAGTCACTCAGCTGGTGCCCAATCTAATTAACAGCACACACTTGTGAACCAAACATTGGCCCCAAGACATGAGATTCCTGGGTCAGGGAGCTGGATAGTTTATTACTTGCCCCATAGCAGTAGTCACATTGTCAACATCTCCAGGCCCCAGTTTCCACAGGGCAATGTGAAGTGACACCTGCACACACAGCAGGATGTGTTAAAAGGAGAGGAACCCGGAGCTCAGGGAACCCGAATCTTTTATGACAGACAGGAAGCACTTCTGCCCTTTGATCCAGAGGAAGACACTACCTTTGTCTTATAAGGATGCTTCCTATACAAACCCCCTTGGAAAGCTAGTCCAGCATAGAGGTAGTGAGGTAAGATTGCAGAAGGCCGGAGACCCATGGAGAATAATCTCCTAACAGAAAGATTTGGGTTTTGTTTCTTATTAGACAGTGTTAATGTTACAGTGATTCCATGCAAAACTTTGTGCTTGGAATAATCTTGAGTATAATTGTGGTTGTATTTCCATGGTAAGTAATCATTTGCAATAGGTTAGGAACATTCTCATCATTTAATAACAGAGGAAACTACAAGGAGAGTTAAATGATTTAATACAAACTCAAGCAGACCCTTTGTATCAAAGCAAGTACTAACATGCTCAAAGATGACGTGGTTTTTTTTTCGTTTTTAATTTTTAATTGTTTTTTTTGAGACGGAGTCTCACTCCGTCACCCAGGTGGGAGTGCAATGGTGCGATCTCAGCTCACTGCAACCTCCCGCCTCAGCCTCCCAAGTAGCTGGGCTTTCAGTCGCCCACTACCACACCCAGCTAAGTTTTGTATTTTTAGTAGAGATGGGATGTTGCCATGTTGCCCAGGCTGGTCTCGAACTCCTGACCTCAGGTGATGCACCCACCTCGGCCTCCAAAACTATTAGGATTACAGACGTGAGCCACTGCACCTAGCCAAAGATGAGTTTTAAACATACTGCACTAAGTAAGGTTTTCATTCAACTCCTAATTTTGCAGTTCAAGTAGATAGATTTAAAATTATCTGGTGGATCCGTAATATTTTTGTTCAGTTTAAAATTTGGGAAGTAAGCAGCCGTCTATTGAAGGATATAATTATCATTATGGATGGACTTGTAGAACAATTTGTGATGAGAAGGCAAGATACACATTAGCCCTCTTAACCTGAAAATGTAGCCTCACATTTATATTGGGGGAGACTATACATGTACGCACACATCCACACACATCCACACATGTATACACACCATACACATACACACACACCTTGGTTATAAAAGCCAGGTTGAAATGAAATAGGTCTGATGTTTTGATAATTCCATCAATTTACATGGTTGAACTCAAGATGCCTTTGTGAGAAACCATATACAATCACTCTCAATCTAATTAACAGCACACATTTGTGAACCAAACATTGGTCTCCATTGTGCAGTTCATAATCATGAAACAACTTTTAGAATATCTTTCAATTCAAAATATAAACATGTAGATATTTTGACATTTTCCTTTTGAATTTTGTGATAGCCAGGATATTTTTGATTAGTTAACATGTTGTCTTAATATTGAAAGATGAATTATTTACGTTGTCCTTTTGTAAAATAGAAAATTTAGCTCGTTAAAAGTTTCATGGGACAGCTCCAGAGTTCTCACAGTTATATAAGACTCTGCCTGCTCTCTGCTCACTACTGTAAATACCTCCATCCTATAATACTGACAACCTCATGGCTAATGAAAATACACTGTTGTTGTCTAAAAGAGTAATTCCTAAACTGTGTCTTTAACCTGTAGCAATAAAAAACAAATCTCTACCTGGAAATCCCCTACTTATTTTTCTCTATCATTCCTATATTTTCCCTTATCTCTGAAATATTTTGAACTACTCCAGCTTTTAGCCACTCTTCTTCATTGTCTCTTTTTTTTTTTTTAGACGAAGTCTCAGCCTGTCGCCCAGGCTGCAGTGCAGTGGCGTGATCTTGGCTCACTGCAACCTCCACCTCCCAAGTTCAAGCGATTCTCCTGCCTCAGCCCCCCGCCCCGAGTAGCTGGGGTTACAGGAACGCACCACCACACCTGGCTAATTTTTGTATTTTTAATAGAGATGAGATTTCACCATGTTGGCCAGGCTGGTCTTGAACTCTTGACCTCAAGTGATCCACCCACCTCGGCCTCCCAAAGTGCTGGTCTCTTCTTTTTTTGTTTTCTTTTCTTTTCTTTTTCTTTCTTTTTTTTTTTTTTTTTTTTTTTTTTTTTGAGACACTTTAACTCTGTCCTCCAGGCTGGAGTGCAGTGGCACAATCTCAGCTCACTGCAGCCTCCACCTCCCAGGTTCAAGTGATTCTCTTGCCTCAGCCTCCTGAGTAGCTGGTATTACAGGTGTGTGCCACCACGTCCAGCTAATTATTGTATTTTTAGTAGAGATGGGGTTTTGCCATGTTGGCCAGACTGGTCTCCAACTCCTGACCTCAAGTGATCCTCCCGCCTCGGCCTCCTAAAGTTCTGGGATTACAGGCGTGAGCCACCACACCCAGCCTCCTTTTTTTTCTCTTCATTCTTAAAACATTTGGTGTGGTACGCATGGCACAAGCCCTAATATAGCATGTATCATATTCTTGTACATAATTCTGTTGTAATATCTCTGTCACCAGGCTGTGTTATTCATTTTTGTAATATCACTTTCTAGCACTGTGCCTAGCAAATAGTTACTTATTCAGTAAATATTTGTTGACAGTAAGAATTGAATGAATTTTAATGTCACCAGCAATTAGGTCTAAATCTTATTCATACTTACTTTAGAGCATATGGAAATTAGAACAGTGTGAGTAATTTGAGCAAATTATATTTTCTATATTAAAGGTTGAAATATAAGTCTACCTTTTTCATACCATTAGTACTATTTCAGGTTCTTAAAGCACTTCTAGGTACAGCAACTGTGAGATATTTAACAGAAAAACTTTGTCACATTATAAAAACAAACTCTAAATGTGAAAGATGATGTTTACAAATTTTGTAAGTTTCTTCTCATGATTACAGTTTTCTCTAATAGATGAAAATAGGGGAAAAAACATTTAAAGTGAAGTGAATGCACATTCATTCATCCGCTTATCCCAAAAGTACTAAGTCACAGTGTTTTGCCAAGTACTTTAATAAGTGATGGGTATACAGAGATTTGGTTGGTTTTATTTTAGGGAGGGACAGCGGAGGAGATACAGTTTTACTAAGATATAATTCACATACTATAAAATTCACCCATTTAAATTCTAAAATTCATTGTTTGTTAGTATATTCACAGAGTTTTGTAACCATCACCACAGTCAATTTTGATTTTCATCACTCCCAAAAGAAACCCACTTCCCTTTAGCAGTAACTCCTGTTTCTCCCCAAACACTGTCCACCACCACCTTAGGCAATCACTAATGCACTCTCTGTGTCTATAGATTTGCCAACTCTAGACATTCAATATCAATGGAATCATACAACATCTTATGACTGGCTTCTTTCACTGAGTACAATGTTTTCAAGGTTCACCCAGGTTGTGGTATGAACCAGCACTTCATCCTTTTTCATTGCTGAGTAATATTCCAATGTATGGATACAACAAACACATGCATATATCATTGGTTAATTGATGAGCATTTGGGTGGTTTCCACCTTTTGGCTATTAATAATAATGCTGATAGGGACATTCATGTGCAAGTTTTTATTTGGACATATTTTTCATTTCTATCAAGTATATAGCCTAGGAGTAGAATTGCAGGATCATATGATAACTCTAGGTTTGAGCATTTGAGGGATTGCTGGACTGTTTTCCAAAGTGGCGGTAGCATTTTACATTCCCACCTGCAGTGTGTGAGATTCCACCTTCTCCCTATCTGTTGAGATTTTAAGAGAAGATTTTAACAAATATTTCCAACTAGAGCTTCTGAAAGTAATGTTGGTGATTACTAGAAAGTTCCGAATCATTTTTGAAAATGCGGCTACTTTTTATTTAGTAGCTGCTAACATTTACTGAGTGCTTACTGTATACTATGCATTAATCTAAGAATTTTACATGTAGTCAGACATTTCATACTTATAACAACTCTGTAAGATACATGTGAACAGTATTTTACTTTTGAAGGTATTAAAGCAAGAAAGTTGAGAAGCAGACATTTAAACTGAGGTAGTCTGGCTTGAGAGCCTCTGTATTTGCCACTGGCTTAAATCTCTGCTGCGAAGTTAAAAATACGCTCGTAAATGTAATTTTGTATTTAAAGATTAAGGATAAAATTGTATTGTGAATTTTGATCTGTGGGCCAAAGACTTCCTTTTACTGACCATCTAACTGACAATTTCATTAAATATTAATTAATAATTTTTGCTAAGTTAATATAAGATATAAGGTGGTAATTTCTTGTACTAATATTAGTACCATCATGTTTTTGGATTTTAAATATTATTTATAACTTCTGTTTTCAGTTCAGGGGAGTGCCATTATCTACCTAATAAGTGCTTACTATGCACAGTCTTCCAAGCAGATTGCATGTAGTATCTCTACAGTAATATGATGCTGCCTTTGGACTGTATCTGCTTCAATATTTTTAATGCATGAATCAGTAATTTCTGTTGGCTCACAATAAAAACGTTTATTTCTGGCCAGGCACGGTGGCTCATGCCTGTAATCCCAGCACTTTGGGAGGCCAAGGAGGGTGGATCACCTGGGGTCAGGAGTTGAAGTCCTGCCTGGCCAACAAGGCGAATCCCGTCTGTACTAAAAAAACAAAAATTAGCCAGGTGTGGTGGTGCATGCCTGTAGTCCCAGCTACTCGGGAGGCTGGGGCAGGAGAATCCCTTGAGCCTGGGAGGCAGAGGTTGCATGCAGTGAGCCGATGTCATGCAACTATACTCCAGCCTTAGTGACAGAGTGAGACCCTGTCTTAAAAACAAAACAAAAACATTTATTTCTTCCTCTTCTTTTATTTTACTCAATATAAGTCATTTAATTTTATTCATTTTCTTTATCCTAAAATTAGTGAAATAAATTTATCCTATTGTTGCATGGAAAATTTATGGATATTTAAAAAAAAGAGATAAAGTTACAAGCTGCCACTGGGAAAAAAAAAAAAAAAGGCAACAAAAAGCTAGGACTAATTAATTTTACTCACAGAGCCAGCAAGCTGTCCCATCTCTGGGAGGAAAAGACACGTACTGGAAATATTTAACAGTGGAATATATTTATATAGTACTATCTTTTCCTTAAAGTAATGCTCCTGTCTGAGGAAATATTTTTCTTAGATATTCTTACAAACCTCTATTAATTTAAAAAAAATTTTTTTTTTTTTTTTTTGAGATGGAGTCTCGCTCTTATCACCCAGACTGGAGTGCAGTGGTGCGATCTTGGCTTACTGCAACCTCTGCTTCCTGGGTTCAAGTGATTCTCCTGTCTCAGACTCCTGAGTAGCTGGGATTACAGGCACGTGCCACCACACCCAGGTAATTTTTTTTTTTTTTTTTTTTTGAGATAGAGTCTCACTCTATCACCCAGGCTGGAGTGCAGTGGAGCGATCTTGGCTCACTGCAACCTCTACCTCCCAGGTTCAAGCAATTCTCCCTGTCTCAGCCTCCTAAGTAGCTGGGGATTACAGGTGTGTGCCACCACGCCTGGCTAATTTTTGTAATTTTAGTAGAGACTGGGTTTAACCGTGTTGGCCAGGCTGGTCTCAAACTCCTGACCTCGTGATCCACCCACCTCAGCCTCTCAAAGAGCTTGGATTACAGGCACGAGCCACTGCACCCAGCCTAATTTTTGTGTTTTTATTAGAGACGGGGTTTTGTCATGTTGGCCAGACTGGCTGTAATTCCTCACCTCAAGTGATCTGCCCACCTCGGCCTCCCAAAGTGCTGGGATTACAGATGAGAGCCACCACGCCCGGCCACAAACCTCTTTTTGATTGAAGCAACTGAGAAATATAAAATTGTTTGAAAATTGTCTATATAAAAATGAGCAAAGCAGTATTTATAAAAAAATACTTCATCATTATTAATAAGACAAACACAACACACTCATTACAGTGTGAGCCCCAGAGTTTGTGTCTGCATCACTGAATGGCTATTTGGTTTCAACGCCTGACTCTTAAGTTTGGGATTTTGTGTAGTTTTTATTTCTTTGTTTGTATTAATCAGCCTCATTGTGATTTTAGCTTCTATTTCTAAAGTTAGTAATCTTGAAATTATTTTGCTCATATGTATTATAAAACACCTTGAGAAACCATATACTTCCTTGCACATTTTTAAGTTGATATAAAAATTTTATTATAGGTTTAAGTAGTTGCAGTATGGTCAGATTATAAATATTAAGGTTAAATTATACAGCAATTGCATCATTTTAAAAATGTTTTTGGGGGATATTAAAACTGATGATTTACCCTTCAGTATCATCTTGCTAATAATACATGTAAAAGATGATTTTTAATAGTCTGAAATTTGATATTGTTTCTTTTTTACAAACTTTTTCATTTCTATTCTACTCTCCTGCATAACTTTATCCCAATGTAATATAGTTAATCTTCATTTTTCACGGGTTCCATATTTGCAAATTCACCAACATGGTAAAATTATTCCTTGCCCCAAAATCAGTACTGGAAGCTTTTAAGGTCATTCACAGAAATGGCAGAGTTGTGAAGATTTGAGTTGCTCAATAAGCATGTTCTCAGTTGAGGTTGAGTGTTCTGCTTTCTTGTTTCAACTTTCGTACTGCAAACAAATGCCCTCTTTGAGGTCTATGTAGTGTCATGTTTTTCATATTTTGGTGCTTTTTATTGGTGATTTCATTGTTCGAAATGGCCCCAAGCATAGTACTGAAGTACTGGCTAGTGTTCCTGAGTTTAAGTAGGTGGTGATGTCCGTTGTGGAGAAATACACATTATAGAAACCTAGTTAAGGCATTAGTTATAGTGATATTGGCTATGAGTGCAATGTTAATGAATCAATAAAATGTAATAAACAAGCTGTCTTTAAACAGAAACACACATAAAACAAGGTTATGTATTGACTGGTGGATGAAAATGTTGTAACCAGAGGCTCAAAGGAACCTAACCCTGTATTTTTCCCCTAGGAACAATGCTTTAGTATTCAGCAGTTTACTGTTCGTGGTGACTTTACAGACTACAACTATAGCCTATAGAAAATAACAAGAATCAACTATTTTTTGTTTTAAATATCTTTACACATCATCTCAAAATATATCTTTGCAACAAAAACATGTATAAGAATTAAAGTTTATGATATATTTTTAAATTCTCTTGTACCATAAGCCTTAGTATTAATTTCTAGTGAATCATGATGTGTCATGCTATTTTTAGTATACAAATCACTTAAAAATATAAATATATATTTGGGTGAATGGTTTCTTGGTATTTTTGACAAATAATTACTAAGCATAAAAATATTAGAAATAAATCCCTTAATTAGATGAATGGGCTTATTTTTATGCATGGTAACCTGTCTGTGGATGAATCTTACTTATTGCTGGAATGAAATGGATTCAGCATCATTTTGTTCTTCCTTTTCATTGTTATGGGTGTAAGCCCGTGTTCTAACTAATAAGTTTATTGGAATAGAAGAGATTTTATTATAGCAACTTCATTCTTTTAATGTCTTCAAAATTGTAACAAAAATTTATTAGTAATATTTGTCATAATTACTCCAGTGATCTGTCAATTTATAACCCAATTGAATCCATCTTTAATTTTGTTGAAAATAAAGAATTTGAAGCTAATTACTTGGACAAAATTATATAGAGACATTCACCTATTCAATTTCTAGGAAATGTATCAAATATATTTTATAAAGTTTTTTTTAACTCACTTAATTTTTCTTGCCATTCTATCATTTAGAGGTATTTTGTTCAATCTGACAAATTTTGAAACATTGGGAAAAATTGAAATGTTCTTCAGTTTAATACACTTTTGTCAATACAATATTTATAATAAAATTATTTTATTTAACATTTTTTAAATCAAAACCTTGGAGCTGCATATTCCATTTGTGGAAAGTGACCGCCTTTTGACATGATGTAAAACCAATCTTTTTCAAATCAGACAGCCAATAGGAGTTAATTTTTCAGAAAAAAATGGGCCCCCATAGCCATCTTATATCTGTCAAGCACCACATAGTAACATTTCAGTCAATGAGGGACCACATATATGATGGTGGTCCCTTAAGATTATAGTACCATATTTTTACTGTACCTTTGCTATGCTTAGAGACACAAACACTACTGTATTATAATTGCCTACAGTATTCAGTGCAGTAGCATGCTGTACACGTTGCCTTGGGGCAATATACTATATCATATAGCCTAGGTGTGTAATAGGCTATATAATCTAGGTTTGCATAAATACACTCCATGATGTTTGCACAATGATGAAATTGCCTAAGGATGCATTTCTCAAAACGCATAACTATACTACAGAGGAGTAGGTGGATGGATGGGTGGATGGCTGGCTATGTGGATGTGTGGATGAATGGGCAGATGGACAGATGGATGGTTAGGTAAGAGATGGAACTTTGCCAGCAGTTTGTCTCCTGGGTGATATAAGATACCGTCATCTTCAGTATTATAGACAACAATCTTAGCTCTGATCTTCTGAGAACTTCCCTGAGGAGGAATTACTTCTTTGGCAATACCAAGGGGTAGAAGAGCTATGAGAGTTAAATGAACATCACCATCTCTCTTGTCCCTCTTTACTGTGTATCTGTATTCATACCAGCCTAACTCAACCCACGTGCTGAAAACACAGTCCGAAATGGCTAAAAAATACATCATCGTTCCTAATGCCAACCTTTACCTTACTCTGAAAGAAATAAAGCTCTACTGTGAGTTAACGGGTTGGGTTAAAAGAGGCTCCCCGTTCCCAGTTGTTCAAGGCATGCTCCTTTAACACCCTGTGGTGGTGCACCAGAGCCACCGTGGGGGAGATTGAGTGTATTCCTTTGTTTTGTGAAGTGGGAGAATGTTGATTTCGAAGGGAAGCTGGGACAAAATGATCCATCATGAAACAGCCATAAATGTGTTTCCAGACATATCTGTTTGAAGGAACGGTGTGTGAGGAATAGGAGAACTTTCCATTGGCACGTCCCATATACCCTCAGGGTAACATACAGTCCAGTGTGAAAGCCACTGACACAGAGGAGGGAGTTTAGGACCCAAGATTCTTTTTCCTGCTTCTTTCCTTGTGAAGTTTGGGCAAGCCACTTTTATTCTTTGTGCATCTGTTTCTTTATTTTAAAAATAGGAATAGTAAATGGTCTCCCAATTATCTTTCAGTGCTATTGTGAAGATTAACTGAGATAATGTCTGTAAAAGCACTTTGAAAATTGAGAGCTCTATTTAAACAGAAGATATCACTATCAGTATACTAACGACACTTTAGACCAATTACAATTTACTATAAAGTGTAGTGGAATAGAGCTCCATTGGGAACACTTTTCTTATTTAAAGAAAATAAATGGTACATTTTTAAAACCAAACATTAATATGGCACAACTGACGTGATAATTACAATAATTTTTACACTATATGTTGGACCTGAAGTTAAGAGTCAATAATTGCTGAAACTTAAAATGTGCCTAGGCACTCTTCTAAATACCTTTCTTATATTGATTTATTAAATTCTCACAACAACTTTAGGAGGTAGATACTATGATTATTATTTTTGATGAGGTACAAAGTATACTGAGAACGTATACCTTATAAGACACAAACCCTCTCTAGTTATCATCCAGTCTTTCTTCTCCTTTCTTTGTCATCTCCTTCCCCAAAGAGTTTTGCCCTTATTATTATGTCCACTTTCTCATCGTTTTTTTTTGGAGACACAGTCTCACTCTTGTCGCCCAGGCTGGAGTGCCATGGCGCGATCTCAGTTCACTGCAACCTCCACCTCCTGGGTTCATGTGATTCTCCTGTCTCAGCCTCCTGAGTAGCTGGGATTACAGGTGTGCGCCACCACGCCCAGCTAATTTTGATATTTTTAGTAGAGATGGGGTTTCACCATGTTGGCCAGGCTGGTCTCGAACTCCTGACCTCAGGTGATCTGCCCACTTCAGCCTCCCAAACTTCTGGGATTACAGGTGTGAGCCACCGTGTCTGGCCAGATACTATTATTATTGCCTATTTTGTTGGTAATAAATTGAGAGAGAGAAACTGTGTGACATGCTTACATAGTTGGTTAGGATGGGACAGAGCTAGTCTGTGAACCCACACAGAGGGTTCTAACATCCATGGTCTTAGCCACAGTATACACGTCTTATTATATAGATTTTCAGTTGCCTTTTTCCTACCTCTCATTCTCCATCTCCCTTAATGTGGTTTCTACTAAATAATTTTAAAAGTGGAAGAATTAATCAAAGAATAAAAAAAGAGTATGTTGGGGAGAGAGAGAAGGAAAAAGAGAGAGAGGAGGGAATTCTACTGGAGATACACCCTCGTCAAAGAACCAAAGCTGTTTCCTTGAGGCTATGCGCGATGTCCTCATCAGTTGCTATGTTCTAAGACCAGGGTCTCTTACTCCCTGAGGAGGGTAGGAAGTCCTCATTCTGTTTCCAGCCGGGGAACCTGGAAGTGGCAGGAGACCTTGACATTCCCAGTCTGGCCCGATGCAGTACCGGGCACCTCTTCCACCTCAAGGAGGGAAGGAGTGGGAAGGCTTGGGCTATGATTCTTGAGCCTTGCGATCCACCTTTTCAAGTGGTGGCAGCATAGTCTTAAGTTTCTCTCTTTTTGTTTTTTCAAAATAGTTTTGCCTTTGAATCTATTTTTTGTGATATTAATAATATTGTCATCCCTGCCTTCTTATGATTACATTTTACTTGGCGTATTTTTTATTCATTTATTTTGAAACCATTTGTGTCTTTATATCTAAAATGCAGCCCTGTAGACAGAGTATAGCTGGACCCACTTCCCTCTGTCCACGTAGTCCCTGCCTTTTAATTGGAGTGTTTACTTCATTAAAATTTAATGTAATTATTGATGTGGTGAGTTCTGGTCACCAGTTTATTGTATTTTTCTATCTACCTCTCTATTTTTCTTCCATTCTTCATTATCTCCTGCCCTTTTTGGAAGGATTATTTCAATATTTTTTGGAATTCCATTATGATTTTTGCTTGCTTTTTGGGTCAATATTTTTATTCATTTTGATTTTTACTATAAGAAATATAATGTCTGTCCTTAACTTCTTAGTTTCTTCATTGTTAATATTGCTCCACTTCATAAAATAAATAAAAGACCCATATTTACCCCGCACCTATTATGCCATACTTGGCATACATATTATATGTTCTAAACTCCCCATGGAATAGAATTTCTGCTTTACCCAGTCATCTGCATTAAATAAATTATGTTGAATAAAGCAAAAAAATTCCTACCTAATTATCTTCTGTATTTAGCACTTATGATGCTTTTACTGTTTCTTGTGGATTTGAATCTCTGTCTTGTACCATTTCACTTCAGCCTGAAGAGTTTATTTGATATTTCTTGTGATATGAGTCTGCTTGTGATAAATTATCTTAATTTTATTTAATCTTAAAATATCTTTATTTTATTCTCATTTTTAAAAGATATTTTCACTGGATATAAACTTCTGCATTGACAAGCATTTTTTGCTTTTTGTTTTCTTCCTGAACTGTAATATTGTGCCGTCACTTCTGGACTCCATTGTTTCTGACCAGAAGTTAACCCTTAATTACATCATTTTAACCCTGTATGTGACAGACAAACTTTTCTTGTTGTTTTCAAAGCTTGTTCCTTGTCTTTGGCTTTCCATAGTTTGACTATGCTATGATTTGCCTTGACACAAGCACGTTCATATTTATCCTGCTTGACATTTGTTGAACATCTTGAATATGTAAATTTATTTATTTCATCACATATTAAAATTTGAGGGCATTATTTTTTGAAAAATTTTTCTGCCCCATTCTTTCATTTTTTCTTTGTGACTCCAACAACATATATATTAGATCATTTGATATTATCTAATATGTCCCTAACATCTATTCATTTAAAAACAATTCTTTATTCTTCACTAATGCTTTCCTCTTTAATCTCCATTTGGGTATTAAATTTATTTAACAGATTTTTATTCCAGGCAATTGTAGTTTTAGTTCTAGAATTTCTATTTGATTCTCTCTCTCTCTCTTTTTTTCTTTTTTTTAAAATAGAGCTAAGGTCTCACTGTATTGCTCAGGTTGATCTCAAACTCCTGGGCTCAAGTGATCTGCCCGTGTGGGCCTCCCAAAAAATTGCTAGGAGTGAGCCACCATGCCCGGCCTGATTCCTTTTTATAATTTCTATTTCTCTGATTATCTGTCATATCTTTCCACTCATTGCAATTTTTTTTTTTTTTTTTTTACTCCTTTAAGGACAGTAATACTACTAGCTCCTTTAAAATTTTGTTTCCTAGTTTCAAAATTAGAGTCATTTCAGGGTTTTGTCTCACTTGATTTTCTTTTCTCCGAGAATGGTTTACTTTCATGGTTCTTTGAAATGTTAGATACTTTTAAAATTATATCGCAGACATTATAAACGTAATTACTGGAGACACTGAATTCTGTAATTTTTTCTCCAGTGACCCTTGGTTCTTTGTTTGTTTGTTTTGGAAGACATTTATTTTGGTTGATCTTGAAAAGAAAATCTGTTCTTTGTGTGCAAGTCTGATCTCCATCTAGATCTTTTTCTTTAATATATATGAACATTTATTTTACAACAGTTTTAGTTTTACAGAAAAAGATGCAAAAATAGTACAGGGAGTTCCCATGTACCCCACACCCAGTTTCCCTATTTTAAACTTCTTACATTGTTATACTACATCTGTTATCATTAATGAAAGAATGCTGATACATTCTTATTAACTAAAATTCAAACTGTATTTGGATATTCTTAGTTTTACCGAATGTCTCTTTTCTTTTCCAGGATTCCATCCAGGCTACCACATTGCATTTACTCATCTCCTTAGGCCCTTAGACTCTAACAGTTTCTAAAGACTGTTCTTGTTTTGGATGACCTTGAAAGGTTTGCGCAGTGCTGGCCAGGTGTTTTTTACAACGTCCCTCAATTGCGTTTTGTGCGATGTTTTCGTGAAGATTAGACTGGGCTTATGTGTTTTTGAGAGAAAGCCCACAGAGATAAATTGCCCATTGCATCACACTGTGTCAAGGGTAAACATGATCAAGATGACTTACCACTGTTGATGTTGACCTTGATCACCTGGCTGCGGTAGCGCCTGTCAGGTTTCTCCACTGTGAGGTTGTTTTTGTTCCCCTTTCCATGCTGTATTCTTCAGGAGGAAGACAATCACAGGGGTGTTACAATCATAGGGGCGTTTACATTCACAGGGGGATTACAATCACAGGGGCGTTTACATTCACAGGGGGATTACAATCACAGGGGCGTTTACATTCACGGGCGTTCATATTCACAGGGGTGTTACACTCAAAGGGGCATTTACAGTCATAGGGGCGTTTACATTCACAGGGGATTTACTGTCACAGGGGCATTATACTTCACCTCCTTGAGCACATCCTTCCTTTAGCTGAGCAACTTTGAGTCTGATAACGCACCTTCATCATTCAGGGGTTAGCCAGAGACGTGGATAGATAGAAATTTGGGTTTCTCTTTCTGACTCATTTTCTTCTGTGTCTCCTCGGAGGCAGGTGTCCCAGTCTTGGTGTTTTGCTTCTTCAGCCAGAAAAACTGTGGCTTTGCAACCAAAGTGCCTGCTGGCCCACATGCCATGTGCACGGACTGCACCTGGCTTCAAGCCTAAAGCTGTGAGAATGGGCACTCCCTTTACGTAACTGTACTTCTCCTGATGTGGACCCCCTAACTAGAAATCTTCATTTTTTTTGTTCACTCTTCTATGGCTTTTCAAGAATCTGCTTTCTTTAGTGAAGTCCCAATTTTATAGTAGTTTTTTTGCAGGAGGGTTGATCCGATAGCATTTAATAATTCATTATAAAAGGCAAAAATCCTGGCCTCTATGTATAAGTGGGGAGATGAAATGAGGCTTCCTGTCACAAAGATCTTCAAAGACAGAAATAAAGAATTATGAAACAAGCTACTAGAGGATGGTATCATACAGCATATACTCAAGTGCTAAATGAGTATGCAGGTAATAGTTATAAAAATAAAAATAAATAATAAAATATAAAACATAAAAATAGCAATTAAAAAATAAAAAACGAGCTATAAAAATGCTTGTAGCTAGTAATAATGCAGATCCTTATAACAACCCAATGAAGATGAAATTGCACATGCAAGGTCACTTAACATTGAGCTATGAGTCCAAAGATGCAGTTCTAGAGATTTGTGTTCCACCACAAATTATTGGGTAGGGAAATAGATTGCTGTAGATGAGATTAGGTTAGAAATGAAGGACTACCGTTAACAAAATTTATTGATGGATCAAAGAGGGTAGGAATAAGGCAAAGCACTAAGACAGGTGTAGGAAGAGAATGTTTATTTTATTTATCTACTGGACATCCGTGTAGATATCAAATGCTAGTAGATGCAATTATCTGAAGTTCCAGTGAGGGCCAGGTGTGGTGGCTCATGCCTGTAATACCAGCACTTAGGGAGGCTGAGGCGAATTGATCACCTGAGGTCAGGAGTTCGAGACCAGCCTGGCCAACATGAGGAAACCCCTTCTCTACTAAAAATACAAAAATTGCTGGGTGTGGTGGTGGGCATCTGTAATCGCAGGTACTCGGGAGGCTGAGGCAGGAGAATTGCTTGAACCTGCGAGGCGGAGGTTGCAGTGAGCTGAGATCGTGCCACTGCACTCTATAGTGGGAGACAGAGTGAGATGAGAGAGAGAGAGAGAGAGGAAGGGAGAGAGAGAGAGAGGAAAAGAAAGAAATAAAGGAGGGAGGGAGGAAGGGAAGGAGGGAGGGAGGGAGGAAGAGAAAGAAAGAGAAAGAGAAAGAAAGGTCCAGGGAGATGGCAAGTCTGGAAATAAGGATTTGGGAGTTGATGACATATCCATTGCATTACAGCCACGGGATTAGAGGAGGTCACCTGGGAGAATACACAGATTCAGACTCCTGGGATGCTCCAAAATCTGCAGGGCCAATAAAGGGAGAGAATCCAGAAGAGGAAGCTACAAAAGTATGTCCTCTTTTGTAGGGGAAACCAGAAGGGTTTCTCTGGCGGGTGCCAAGAGAAGAAAGGATGATGAGAACAGAAGCCAACTATATTGAATGTCCCTGGAAGGTCAACCTGATAAGAACTGAAATGTGATGACAGGATTGAAGTGTAGAGCTCATTGCTTTACCAAGAGCAGTCTTCAAGTGTTGGCTCACGGAAGAGTATAAAATAAAGAAATGGAGACCAGGGTGATAAGAAATTCTCAATGAAAATTTCTATATAGAAAAATGGGGTAGTAATCGCAGGAGGGTGTGAGGACAGGTTGGTTGGTTTGCTAAAGTTAGGGAATACTAGATTTAGTGATAGTTCTCAAAGGTGCAGAAGAAACTTCCCAGGCAAGGGACATTTGGAAACATGTGGAGTTACTTTTGTGTTGCCGCAATTAACCGGGGCGTGCCTCTGATACTTACTGGGCTGCAGGTGGAGCCGAACATCCCACGGAGCTTAGGAAACCCTCTCATGAGGAAGAATTGCCTGCCTTCAGTGCACTGAGTCCATTTTTGTGCTCATGTTAATGGTCTATCTTGGGCTGTGATTTTCTTTGGGTCTCTCAGCAAAACTGTCTGAGGCATCACATGATGTTATTTGCCATCTAAAAGGACTTCACCGAACCTTTGACAGTTCTGGATATGACTTTGATTAGTCCACCTTATGTCACCTGTATTCTGCAGAATCAATCACTGGAACAAGGGGAGTGCCAGGCACAGATTGGCTTGCATCATCCCTGAACCAATCATTTGACCAATGACAAGGAGGATGGGGCTGTGCTGATGAATGACATTGCTCTTCTCAGTGCAGGAGGCGGAATGGCTGCTTGAGGAGCAGCCAGAATCATTTAAGAATCATTAATTATTGATATTGACTACTATATTTATGAAGTTTATACCCTGGTCAGACTTGGTAAATAAAATTGTCTTAAAAGAAATATAAGGGCCCATCCACCAATAACCCTTTCCCCTCTTCCCACCCATTCACTT
This sequence comes from Homo sapiens, assembly GCF_000001405.40. NCBI lineage: Eukaryota > Metazoa > Chordata > Mammalia > Primates > Hominidae > Homo > Homo sapiens. The sequence continues at coordinate 162,447,597 of NC_000006.12, read as the reverse complement.
CCTTACTCTCTGGGACTTCTCAACCCTGGTTAGGGATATCATAAAAAAGGAATCTGGATATATCTCATTATGTTTTTTGTTATCAGTGCATTATGATGTTGATTGATAATACACATGATTGATAATGTTTACTGGTATGTTGTTTGTTTCTGATACTATATTATACGTCATCAAAACAATTATTAAAACAATGCATTTCCAAGCTTTTCATATGTAATTAAACCTTAGAAAGTAGAGGTGAGCCATATTCTCTATCATATCTCTTGGTCTCTGGAAGTTTTCTGTCCACCAAGAGGAGCAGAATCCAGAAAAATTGGCTACTTTATTTAGTATTTACCCACATCCTATCTAATCTCCCTTAGTTACCATGCAAGCAAAGGACACTGCTTTCATTAGCTCTACCTCCTCTAGGTGCCTAGAATAGGGAACTATTTTTGGAGCACACACTTGCCCAGCACTAGGAGGATAGGCCCTGTACTAGTCTCTTTCTGAGATTTTCTAATACATCCATAATCTCAATAAATCTTGTGTAACAGACATTGGTGTTGCATCCCTTATACCGATTTATTAGATCAGGAAGCTAACAGTCAAGGTGGCCAGGTAACTTGTCATAAAATTAGCAAGCGTTACAACCAGCATTCAAATTTCTCTTTATGTAGCTCTAAAGACGTTCTGCCTTCTGTGACTTTAAAGAGGTAGTAGGTGGGGAGAACTGGGTACTTCCTTCCACTCCTGTTTTGGAAATCATGGCTGGAGTTCAGGGGCTGGTACAGATGGGACATGACATGTTTCCCACATATGTCAGAAAAAGGTTGAGACCCACTCAAATCACATTACTGCCATTCAGCACTAGCCATTTTTCACATAATGGCACTTGATTATGAACTCAGTGAGTTTCTTAAGATGTTTTTTCTTATTCATGCGAATGTTTTAGTTGGTCAAATATTATGTATTTGGTTTATCTTTCCATTTTAAATTTATATTGTATGTTAGATTTACTGTTAAAAATATTCATATCCGTAGTATTTATGATTTATCTAAATACTGTAACTTTAAATCTGTAACTTTTCTATTATAGAAAAAACTTGTATATACTTAGGATTTCAGTAGTTGGACAGAGGTATCTTTAATATTTTTTGCAGTTTCCCTTTACAAAAAAACTCTCATCCTTGCAGTAGGAGTTCCATGATTTGAACCCCTGGAGCAAAATCATAAACTTAGGATCTCCTGGAATTTTTATCTGGTTTTATAGCAGCTTTGGCACAAATTCCAGCCACTTCTTCCCACATTCCTTCCTATGGTGTTTTACTTTAAATCTATTCTCACTAGTAGAAAATGAAATTTAGAACTGGGGTCATATCTTTTGTCCCTATAGCCCCTAACTTGTCATGTGTCTTTTCTGATGAATTGGTTGTCTTATGGTCTCTGATCTGAGGATGCTGTGAAGATACCTCAGGGCTTCCAATACATTTTTATTTCTTCCCCTCTATTTTCAAAGGCGTCAAATGAAATTGACTTAAAAGTGTATCAAAAGCACCTTTTCCTCCGTAATTAGTATTTTTCATGAATTTTCTTTATTTGGAGCACTTTGTCACTGGTCGTCCTTCCTTTTTCTAAACACTTTCCGTGCTGGTCAGAGATGTCAGGCCTTTGTTCTTGTGGTGCCATCTGGACCACCTGCCCTCACTGGAGTGTCACGTCTGTTTTGGGGCCCATGTTGTTCATGGTTATTGTTCACGGTCCTTTGCTCTTAGCTCCTCACTGGAGCTTTTATTTATTTGTACTGCACACCCATATAGGGAATATCTGATTTATGTCATAAAGCCTTTTTATTGTTATCTTTTTAATCATGAGGGATAGAAATGTGGACTTTTTTTTTTTTTTTTTTTTTTTTTTTTTTTTTTTTTTAGACAAGGTCTCTGTCACCCAGGGTGACTGAGTGCAATGGCACAACCATAGCTCACTGAAACCTCTAATTCCTGGGCTTACACAGTCATCCCACCTCAGCCTCCAGAGTAGCTGGGACTGCAAGTGCACGCCACCACGCCCTGCTGATTGTTTAAAAAAATTTTTTGTAGAGATGGGGTCTCACTTTGTTGCCCAGGCTGGTCTTGAACTTCTGGGCTCAAGTCATCCTTGCCCCTTGGCCTCCCAAAGTGTTAGGATTACAGGCTTGAGCCATTGTGCCTGGCCTGGACTTTTCTTCTGAGATGGTTTCAGGAAGCCTATTTTAGTAGAAATGGAATGAGCTTTAGAGTTAGATTGAAATAAATTTGAAACCCAGTTCCATTAGAAAGTAATTAATGTCCTTAGAAAAGTGGGTCCCATTCCCTGTGCCTTCGTTTATTATTCTGTAAAATAAGGATAATAATAGGGACCTGACCAGATCACTGGGAGGCTTAGAAAAACCATATGAGAGCACAATGTCTGGCACATAGTAAGTGCCTGATTATTATTGGCATTGTAATGATTATTATAATTATGATGAGGTGGGTCATCTCACATTGGTATTGAGAAATAATTAGCTATAGTACTACATTTAAAGGAAACACAGCAGTAAATAAACAATAACACTTGCCCTTGAGGAGTTTGTTATCTTTTAAAGAAGGCAAAATGTATATCAAAAACAGCTAAATGTCCATTATTTTTAAATGTTACAAGACGATAGTTTTAAATACTATAAATATTATTTAATGAACCGAATAATATGGTCTGTGGTTTATTTATGTTTTCAAGATAAGGGAACTGAGACCTAAAGAGGGAGGTTAATAGATTGACCCCTAGCATCCTAAGCCAATTAAAGGAGTCTGTGGGGATTTTTCATAGGTCTTCCTAATGCTTCAGGATGTTCTTTTAACCCGTGTGCTATCCTGCTTCCATGAGGAATGTGGTGAATATTAAAAGACATATATAGTAAATGCCACTGGTGCCCTGAATAAGGAAGATCAGGCTTTTGCAGTAGCTGATAGCCAGAAGCTTCTTGGGGGAGGTCACATTTGAAGTGGGCCATGGAGGTAGGCAGGATTTCAATAGGAAGAGGAGAAGGAGGGAGGTCATGAATAAAAGCAAGAAGTTGTGTGCAGCAGTTTTTTGTGATTTTTTTTTTTCTGGGAGCATTTAGTTTAAAAGAGTACACATGGAGATTAATGAAGAAAATGCTGGAATGTAGGTTTGTGCTAGATGAAAGGGATCTTGGAGTCTTTCCTCACCAGCCGACAGTGTGAGACTTAAAGGATTTGAGTGGTGTGACATAGCTCTGTATTAATAAGGCTCATTTTGCAGAACTATGTAGGGCCTTTTGGAGGTGATGGCGTGGATCAAGACTCCAGTTGGGGGCTATTATGAGACTCTAGAAAAGATGTGATGAGAGCGTGACTTCAAGCAGTGAGAGAAAGAATGGAAAGTAAAGGGCAGTGAGAGACGCTGAAGAGGTGGGACAGCAGGTGCAGTGAGAAGACGGCATGCAGACAGACAGACTAGAGGATGCAGCCTGGGTCTCACGGGGAACAGTGGCTTCAATAAGACAAATGGTGTCACTAGTGTCTCCACCCCCTCCCTGCCAAAAAGAGGGCAAATAATTGTCTTCATAGACCCAGTGGAGCATTTTGGCCAGGACCACCCAAGTCTAGGGCTCTGAGCCATAGCCCCGAGTGGGTCTTCACTCTGGTCTATAGAGCAGCTTAGATTTTTTTCCATTGCTATACCTTGAGTGCTAACACATCGCCTCCTATTTTTATTAAGAGGGTCACTGTGGAGGGAGTGTGAGTGTGTACATGCTGTCAGAGCTGAGTCTTTTCAATAAACTCATGGGACTCTTTCAATTCCAATCAAGCAAGTGTCCTGCTCAAGTCTCTCTGTTTCCCAGGATGGATGTCAAAGGGAGAATGCAATTTTGGTTTGCAGGTCACTGACGAATATATGAAAGGGAAATCTCGTGGGTAACTAACTCTGTTTTTCCCAAATATTGCTCTATAGCATTAAGTTTTTTGTTGTAAGTGAAAGAAAATATATACCATTCACTGAAGGGCTGCGAGGGGTAAATCGGTTGAGAAATGTTGCTATCACCATTTAAGGGCTTCGAGTGATGCTCACTTTCTCTTCTCCCTTCCAATTTCCTTGGTCAGTGTTTGTCAGGTTCAACTCCAGCCATGGTTTCCCAGTGGAGGTCGATTCTGACACCAGCATCTTCCAGCTCAAGGAGGTGGTTGCTAAGCGACAGGGGGTTCCGGCTGACCAGTTGCGTGTGATTTTCGCAGGGAAGGAGCTGAGGAATGACTGGACTGTGCAGGTGAGTCTCCCTTGGCGGCCGTTCTTGGGATGCCGCCAGCTCCATTGCTCATGCCGCCTGCGCTGCCAATCTGACATTCATGCCTGAGATCTAATAGAATAAATAGTGCCTGGGGATTCCTTGAACTTTACTCCACACTGCTTCATTAATTCTGACCTTCTTAATTATGCATTAAAACAGCAAGCAGGAAAGATTGGAAGAACAACTGCGAGTGAGAAAGAGAGAGAGAAAGAACACACGAGCTAGGCTTAGTGAATAAATGTCTACTGACTACAGGAGCAGCAAGGCACAATTTCTGTGTCTGTTCAATTTCTACCTTACTTATTCCATTTGAATCTTAACGAAGAAGGATTCGAATAAATTGTTCCCAATCAGGCTGCTCAGTCCCTGCACTGTGAGGAATTTGTAACCCAATTGTGACCCCTGGAGGTTAGTGAGGGCTGCTGCTATGCTGCGCTAGAGGAGGTGTGGGCTCCGGGGCCCATTGGCAACTAGCTTTGGGCACTCCTTGGCCAGGACCAGAATCGCACAGTTCTGCAGCTGATGGGGAAGGAAGCCTGGAGCACAACAACAGTATACCTTTGCATGAATTTCTCCAAGGTTCAGTAACATTGTCCCTGGAAATAGGCCCCTGCAACGTAATAAGTGTGAACGATGCTCTCTTCTCTCCTGGCCCCAGCAGAGCTTCTGGCAGCCCACTGCTCCTAGCCCCATGAAAGCCCTACACACATGTCATTCGGATTGGTGATTTTTGTAGGAATTAGGGGGACTGGTGAGGTGACTGATAATACCACCATCACCTAGAACTAGAGACCCGTCCTTTGTTGGGGAAACTCGCAAATACAACTCAACATTTGTTGACGCTATTCTTTGTGAATGCAAGAAAGACGAAACGCTTTCTGGGAATGGTCCCTGTGACTGTGAAGGACCCTGCAGATGTATGTTCCCCTTTTCTTAACCAGCATCAATTAATTGCACTCAGGTTTACAGCTGTGTGGGTATCACTGCTCCGCGCAGGGGGGCTCCTGGGTCAGAGTACACAAAGTCCGTCCTTGTATCTGCATCCTTTCCCTGTCTCTTGTGGGTAACGATATTTATGGCTTTGTAAAATGCTCTCAGAATTTGGGTATACAAAGAAGCTACAGAAATGCAAATTGTTCCTGTCATTCTGCATTGCATCTCCTGCTGATGGTGTTGAGGCACATACTCGTTGTGCACAAACTGCTGGCCTCTGCTTTCAGGCAATTTGGTTTTATAAGGGAAGTGCATGTGCTAAAAAGGGTTTTGATTTTTTTTTTTTCTATTTCAGTCAACTAAAAAGATTTTCACTGTATCTGCCAACCTCTAAATCCAAGGATGTTTCCTTCACAAATAAATAATTTTAAAACAGCTCCTTGAATCAAAACATTTTATATTGCCAAAACCTTCAGGTTCTAAACTGCCATTTGTGCTGATTCATAAAACAATTAGCGATTTCATATGTAGTTAGACTAATTGCTTCAGATGATTGACTTTGCAAACATATATGCCTAAGACATGTGTTGATTTATGAGTCTATTTTGACAAACACTTCTTAAGCACTTCCAATGTCCTAGGCTTCTCAGGGGATCCAAAAGAGAGACCTAACTCAGCCCCTGTTTTCATGGAGACTGCTCTTTATTTATGAGCCCTAAAACCGAGAGAAATATTAGATTGAACCATATGGGATTGCCATTTTTACAGGTTCAACAATTTCATGTTGTTCAACCTAATAGCTATAATATAAGAATATGAAACATAACTGCCGTATCGCACCTGAAAATATTATGAAGTTTTAAAGGTGGAGAAAACACATCTGGTTGGAAGTCACCAGGAAGAACTTCTTGGATGAATTGAGTTGAGGTAGGATTCTGTAGATGGAGGAATAGGGGAATGAGCATAGAGAATGCTTGCCAAAAAGGATGGGTTCTTGTTCTTCTAGAACCTGAAGAGAGATGTTGAAGATTGGACAAAAAATAAAATATGGGCTATATTTCACATAACCTTGACTAACTTGGCATTGAAGTTTCATTGGTGGGGAACTAGAGAAAAATGTCATGCCATAGAAGGAAATGGGAAGTCTGAAGACCCGGTTTGGTTGGGGGAAGGATGCTGCATTGTTCCAACATGATGGGAGTTGATGCCAGCTGAGTACGTGTGTTTGGAGATGCCTAGCTGGCTGTTGAGAACTTGTGTCTGAGGACACTGAAAAAGAAAGGTTCATACTTATGGAACTTCTATTAAATCACAGTTAAATGATTTAGGTGCCGAGAAGTTGGCAAACTTTGTTCATAGAAGAGTTTCACTGTAAAGACTAGGAAGTTACACATGTAATTGCAAATTGATGGCTATGTTTTCTTTAAGTGTACAACTGGCAGAATTTTAGCATCCTAGATATTCTTGTATAATCTTAGAACATATGTTTACAACTATTTAGTCAATATCATTTAGTTACCCATTATCATTACAGGTGCTATATTTCACAGTATAAGCACAAAATATCTAATAATAAGTTGCTGCTGAGAAAAAGAAGATGGACCTTCCATATGAGCTACTTAATGCTTCCATTAATGAATGTTAAATATACACCTTGGTGTCCTGAAGAGAAGAAGAGATGGCTGGGGTGGTGTCTATGCTTGCTGGGTGTCTTCCTCCTGGTTTCGTATTCTTTATCATAGGTGATATGAACATATATATTAGCTTATCATGCAAAATGAGATATTGTGAGTATAAAAGAAGACCCTGTCAATAATTATTCCAGGACAAAATTATATGTTGGGAGTGTCCTAGGAAAACTGAGGCAATGGTCACCCCACATACTGAGCAGTATCTCTCACACTTAGTTTCACCTTCTTTGAGGAGGAAATTAGTTTTAGTGCCTCACCTCAGGTACTTTGGGGAACTATAGCTTGAGACCACAGTCTTATGAAATGTCATAATTTTAAAAAGCGAGTTTGTCTATTTAACTGGCAAAGGGTATTTGTAAGATTATAATAGAATTGATGTCACATCTAAAAAATTTTCATAGAATTTTCAGTTCTGGGAGAGCATATCCACAGGCCACTTAGAGAAGCACTGTTAGAGTATAGTTATTTTCATTACACACTCATCTGTTCAGTTTTGTTATTGGCAAGACTTTAAGAACTTTAAAAAATTAAAGGAAAATGGAAAAAATATAGACATTGAAAACGAATGATCTGGCACAGATTTTGCTTCTGGGAAGCTGGAGTAGGCATACTTTTCCCTCTTCCTCCCAGCAACTACACTAAAAAGCCTAGACATTGCATATTGTACAGTTGACTCGTGGAGTCATGGAGTTAGGGGTGCCAACCGCTATGTAGACAAAACTCATGTATACTTTTATCTCCCCTCACACTTTACCAGTAGTCTGCTATTGACGGGAAGCCTTACTGATACCATGAACAGTTGATTAATACATATTTTTCATATGTAATATGTACTGTATGCTTATAATAAAAAAACTAGAGAAAACATTAACAGCATTACAAAAAGGAGAGAGGATACTTACTATTCATTAAGTAGAAGTGGATCATCAAGATTTTCATTGTCTTTGTCTTCATGTTGAGTAGGCTAAAGAGGAAGAGGAAGAGGGGGAGTTAGTCTCACTGTCTCAGGGGTGGCAGAGGCAGAAGAAAATCTGCATATAAATGGACCCATGCAGTTTCAACCCATGTTATTCAAGGGTCCGCTGTACAAGCTTAGGAAGATTCTGAAAGTAGTGAGAAGAATGTGGACAGAGTAGGGATTTTAGAACCCAAGGAAGAATCCAGAGGTGAATTTCTTGAGTTTTCTTTTTGCTACGTTACCTCAGATGTGGAACTGAAGAAGCTGGCAACCAGGAAATGTCAACATATATAGACAAAAAGAAAAGAGAAGAAAAAAGAAGCAGAGAGGAAGGGAGGGGCAGAGAGAGAGAGAGAGAGAGAGAGAAGGGAGGGGTAAAGGAAGGGGGAAGGGAAGGGAAAAGGAAGAAAGGAAGGAAGGAAGAAATCCCCAACAATGGCCTGTTTTTTATCCAGAGGACTCAGAAAGGGGCTGCCTAGCAACATAGAAAACATTTAGACAATAACCAGTCTACTCCAGCCAAATGCAACAGAAAAACTGCGGCCCTATCCTTGTCCCCACCAACACTAGTAAAGGCTGAGTGGAGAGCCTCTTGTTTGAAATTTCTGAAATAAAACACTCACTGATGGGTTTGACATAAGAATGGAAGGAACAGAGAAAAGAGTCAGTGAACTGGAAGTTGGAACATAGAAATGACACGGTCCAAATGGCAAAGAAAAGGTAGGCTGGAAAAAGAAAAAAGGAATAGAGCCTCAGAGACCTGTGGTTCTCCAACAGAGCATTTAAAGTTTGTGTCAGGGGATTCCTGGAAGGAGAAGATAATGGTGGGCAAATGCTCAAAGAAATAAGTGTTGGAAACTTCCAAAGTTTGCAAGAGACATAAAGTTATAGATGGATTTATAAAGCTGAGTGAATCTAAAACAGGAAAAACCCAAAGAAACCCACACCAACACACAACGTAATTCAACTTCTTAAAACTAAAGACAAATTTTAGATCTTGAAAGAAGCCAGAGAAATATCACACCTTCCCTATAGGGCTAACATTGTTCTAATTACAGTGGATTTCTCATCAGAAACCATGAAGGCTAGAAGGAAGTGGCACAATGTTTTTCAAATGCTGAAAGAAAAGAACTGCCAACCTGTAATATTATACCCAGTGAAAATGTCGTTCAGGAAGAAAGAACAAATCAATACTTTTTTTTTTAGATAAAGAAAAACTAAGCGAATTTGTCACCAGCAGACCTACCCTAAAAGAATGGCTAAAGAAATTTTCTAAACAAATGAAACAACAAAAAAAGGAATTTTGGAACACTAGGAAGGAGGGAAAAACATAGTAAGCAAAAATATGGTTAAATACAATGCACTGTTTTTCTCCTCTTGAGTTTTCTAAATTATGTTAGAGGGTTGCAGCAAAAGTTATAGCATTGTCTAATGTAGTTCTACATGTAGAAGAAACATTTCAGGCAAACATAAACACAGATGCAAGGAAAGGTAAGATTTCTAAACTTGACCTACAAAATAGCAACTGCAGTAGAGCATGACAAGTTAAGAATGTATAAAGAAATATCTAGAGTAATAGGTAAAGTAGGTAAATTAAAATACAAAATAAAGACAACACCAAATGCTGGTGAGGATGTGGAGAAATTGGATTACTCGCAAATTGCTACTGGGAATATAAAATGGTAGAACCACTCTGGAAAAGAATATAGCAGTTTCATAAAAAATGACATATGTATTTACCAGATGACAGAGTTATACTCTTAGTTATTTATCCTAGAGAAATGAAGACGTAGGTACACACACAAATCTGTATATGAATGTTTATAGCAGTTTTATTCACATTAGCAGAACACGGAAACAACTCTGATGTCTTTCAGTGGATCTGTGGTTCAACAAACTGGTACCTCCACACCCTAGAATATTACTCAGCAGTAAAAAAGGAGCCGACTGTTGATATACAAAATATCTTGGATGGATCTCAGGGGAAATGTGCTGTGTGGAAAAAGCCCATCCCCAAAGATCGTACACTGAATAATTTTATTTATATAACATTCTCAAAACGACAAAATGATAGAAATGGAGGGCAGATTCATGCTTCCCAGCAGTTCTGAAGGGGGTGGAAGCAGGTGAGAGGAGGGTACGACTGTGAAAGGGTAACAGAAGGGACCCTTTGGTGACGGCCGTCCTCTGTGCTGACTGTAACAATGCTTATAGTACAATTATAACGTCTAGCTTGGCAAGATGTTACCACTGGCGGAAGCTGGGGAAAAGGTAGCTGGCATCTTTCTCTGCTATCTCTTACAACTGCGTTAGAATGTGTAAGCATTTTAATATAAAGTTGAATTTAAAAAAAACCTAGGATATCTGTCCACTTTCACAGAGGAATTGAAACTATCACTTTCTTAGAAAATAAGCTTGCTATTTGTCTCTCTTTTAAAGGGAGAGTATGTATTCAATGAGTGATATTTAACATAAGAAATGAGAAAAATAATTTAATTGATTAGCAGACACATTTAAAGACTTGTTCATACTAAGAGTACAGGGTGAGTAAAACTTATAGAGACATTAATGCCTCTTTCTTGAAGCCTTTTTTTATTTATTTATTTATTTTTTTTGAGACAGAGTCTCGCTCTGTCGCCCAGGCTGGAGTGCAATGGCACAATCCCTGCTCACTGCAAGCTCCGCCTCCCGGGTTCAAGCGATTCTCCTGCCTCAGCCTCCCGAGTAGCTGGGATTACAGGCGCCCGCTACCACGCCTGGCTCATTTTTGTGTTTTTAGTAGAGACGGGGTTTCACCATGTTGGCCAGGCTGGTCTTGAACTCCTGACCTCAGGTGATCCACTCATCTTGTCCTCCCAAAGTGCTGAGATTACAGGCATGAGCCACCACTCCTGGCCTCTTTCTTGAAGTCTTAAACAGAATTTTTAGCACATTATAGATCTGAATAGACATGATGAGTATTTATTTGCAAACTCTTTACCAAATATTTAAACTAAGCAAAAGTAAATAGTTCTTGACAATTGTGTACTCCAGTTGTACATAGTTTTTAAATTGATTTGTTAGTCATACATTATAATTTTAGGAAATAAATGAGCCAGATCGGGCACAGTGGCTCATGCCCGTAATCCCAGCACTTTGGGAGGCCAAGACAGGCAGATCACGAGGTCAGGAGTTCGACACCAGCTTGACCAACATGGTGAAACCCCGTCTCTACTAAAAATACAAAAATCACCTGTAATCCCAGCTACGTGGAAGGCTGAGGCGGAGAATCTCTTGAACCTGGGAGGCGGAGGTGGCAGTGAGCCAAGATTGCGCCATTGCACTCCAGCCTGGGCCACAAAGAGACTCTGTTTCAAAAAAAAAAAAGGAAACAGATGATCTGCTGTGGTTATAGAGTAAACATTAGTAACATATTTATGTAATAGAATTTAGGGATGTAATGGCTTCATTTCTGAACTAAATTTATTGAAATTTCATGGTTTTTTTTGGTAATTTATTCAAATTTTTTTTTTTTTTTTTTTTTTTTTTTTGGAGATGGAGTCTTACTCTGTCGCCTAGGCTGGAGTGCAATAGCATGATCTTGGCTCACTGCAACCTCTGCCTCCCAGGTTCAAGTGATTCTCCTGCCTCAGCCTCTCAAGTCGCTGGGATTTCAGGCATGTACCACCACACCCAGCTAATTTTTGTATTTTTAGTAGAGATTGCTTTTTCTATTGACTATAAAACAGAAAGAGGCTAGTATCAATTTAGAGCACTGAATACATTTCCACCATGATTTTTTGTTTGTATATAAAAGAATTCTGCAAATGACCAATATAGTTCCTATTTTAACTGATTATAAGATAAAAGGAGGCCAGGCTCAATACCATTATACCCAGAGCACAGTCACGCAGTGATTTATTTCTGTGTAAGAGATTGGTCATGTAAATGAGATGCTCATTCACTACAGGACTGATACAAGCATCTTCTCTCTGAAGGTTTGCCTTGCAAATGGAACTTACTGCTGGCCTCCTTTATTTAGGCAAATGTACATATCCTCTTGAGTTCCTCCAAAGAACAGGTACATTATTATACGAACTAGTAAGTGTTGCTACGTGTCCGAGTCTAGAATCAAAGAATGATCATCTGTACAGGGCAAATGCTCACTTTGGGAAGACCGTTATTTCATCTATTTGTGTCTGGTTGCCTCTACATGTCAGAAAGTATCCCTGAATGACTTACCTCTTTGCATAATTCAGAACTCTCAGAAATGTTATTTTTCTTTGAAAGGAAGCCTTGACATTTCTGTGCCCATGTGGACTTACAAAACATCTCTGAGGATTGCCATCAATAAGCATAGACTTGAAGAAAAAAAAAAAGCTAAGATTCTTATAGCTTATAAGATGCTGAAGATATATAGTCTGTGGATTCATTTAATAGGCTCTCATCTCATAGATGTTTCCATTGTGATTACACTCACATTCCAAGGCAAGCAATGTGTGAGAGGGTGAAACTCTGCAGCAATCCAATCTCCAAACTCTTAACATAGGATGCATCTTATTAGGGTACAGGAAACCTGATAAATGACAGAGAAGAGATGCCATACTGAAACTGTGTTACTGTTCACTGAAGTCCTAGTTTCAGATATTCTGTTGTCTCCATTATTGGACTAAGATTCCATCATCCAATTGACCTGATGTTATCTGAGATTTTGCTTAATACAGTCATCATCCTTTAGGGAAGAATTTAAGAAATGAGAGGTTGTGTCTATACACCCAAAAGCTCTGAACCCAAAGATGATTCACTGAAATTCCATCTTTACTTTTTTCCCTTTTTACTAAGTCATTGTAACAAGCCTGAGATGACTGTCAAGGAACAATAAGATTGTATATGAGAAACTTCTTTGAAGCTTATATACCAAACTCACTTATGATGAATACATATGGGAGTATGTGTGCTCCTTCATTTTCTATTTATATATGGGCTTGGGTCATAGCTTTAATTAATAAGTTACCATTAGTAAATATTTATTCCAGCATTGATCTTCCTTAGATATAAGTTAAATGGCAGATGAAGTTAAATGTGTGGGATGTGATCCTTTATGTTATAATAGTTTATGTTAAAGTATAACTTTAGTGATGCCCATAAGACACAGAAAACACAATTAAATGGGAATGGGAGAGTCTGGCCTAATATGTTGTGTTAACTTTTTTTTTCAAATATTAGGTTTAATATTGATAAAAATAAAATTATCATAAACAATTTAGCAGCAGAAGTTAAATTAACTGAAATTCACATTGGACAAGTGAAGATTGCCATAGTAGCCTTTGTAAAGCACAGAAGGATGGGCTGAAAGATCTTTCTTTGGCCATGTGCTAAATCAGAGGATGCACAGACTCATTTGAATGGAGGCAGAACATCAAGTATTTACTGAATTGTTGGGCAAGCCCATGATTTATAAAGTTGGTGTCAGTATAGTGTTCTAGTATCAATTGTTTTTGGATTTTTAAAAAATGTTTTAGCCTTTTGTACATATATGTCTTCACACAGAGAAGCATACATTCATTTGGGGAATGCATTTCCTGGGAAAAATTATAATTTTTGTGGGTGTACTTGTGTAAACTGCATTGGATTGAAGATTTTATTCTGTCATTGAATTTTATTTTGCATGGAATGTTTCTTGTCTTATTATTTGTTCTGGATACTTTGCATTCAGAGGTGTCACTCAGATAAGATTTAATATGTAGACTAATTATGGCACAGAACTCTGCTTTTTAAATTAATAGAATATTCTGACATTAGAGGGAGAAATGAGGAATGCGAGAACCCACTGATGTTTGTGTTTTGAGTACATCACAAACTCAATTTCAAATATGTGGGCTTTTGAAAGCTCAGTGCAGGTTTTGCCAAGGATATTTTCTGCTCATTTTTATAGGCTTACATATTTCAAAGGGAATTGGGTCTGTGTGTTTGCATTCCATCTATGCGTAATTCATCAAAAACATTGTTCAGAAAACAGGAAATAAACACAAACATTTGTTTAAGATAGTTCTAGTGTTATTTAAACCTTGGACACTAAGAACTTCAGAACCTGCTAAAGTGGTTAATTAACATCTGCTTCCTCAGTTTACCTGTTTTGTACCTTGGAGTCAATTCTCATTTTGAGGAACATTGAGATACATGCTGTTCTTGTAGGAGCCTAAAACTTTTTATATGTTTTTTTCATTCCAAGGGAGTTTTATGATGCCATCCTACACATGTGCTTATTGCTATATATAAATGAGAAGTCAAAACTTCAAGAATGTCATACACTAGATGAAATCACTTAAGAGTTCAACTAGACTTTCAAATACACTGTTATAATGAAGTACAGTAGATATGAATCACTCTAAAGTCAGACTCTCTGGGAAGGACAAGTCATTTAAGCTCTCCAGTCTTTATTTTTCTGATCTATATGAAGTGTAGATAGTAATAATGCCTATATTTTATATGTTTGTTTTGAGTGTTATATGAAATTTTACCTACAAAGGACTGACACATAAGCAAATTTTAACATGTTATTAGTTTAATTTGATGAATAATTCACAAAGAAAATATAAACATTTTATTTGTAATGCGCAGTAAATTCATCCCACGATTTATTCTGTTTTAAAACATTGCAAAAGGGGACAGATTTACCCCATGCCAAATTGCCTATTCCACACTTGAACTAACTGAGAACAGAATATATTTGTGGGAACTCCTTTGAGTTAAGTCTAAACAGTTATCTTAAGAAAATACTATATTCTATTCTAATGGAGTTTACTTTTTTAATGCACTGAATGTATCTGTATGTGAAATTTTATTTGGGGGAGCAATTTTGCAGGAGTACTTACCATTCAAAATCTGTTTAACAAGGGGCATGAAGTAATTTCAGATTTCTCCTAAGAATTCATGAGTCGCTTGAATGTAAAATAGAGGGCAAGAGGATCAGGAAGCACTCTGAAGAGAAAATACATTCTAAGACCCACTTAAATAGTTATATTTTTGCCTCTGTAATTGATAAGCAGAATGAAGATTTTGAATTTATATGATCTGTCATTTTGTAGTACACTGAAATCCAGTTGTGTGGCTTTAGCCTTGCAGATTAAATACATACTAATCTTTTTGTGTTTGTATTTATTTTAAAGGTCGGTTTCTGTTTGTTTGTTTGTTTGTTTGTTTTAGACGGTGTCTCGCTTTGTTGCCAGGTTGGGGTGCAGTGGTGTGAACTCAGCTCACTGCAGTCTCCACCTCTTGGATTCAAGCGATTCTCCTGCCTCAGCCCTGCTAGTAGCTGGGATTACAGCTGCGTGCCAACACACCCAGCTAATTTTTGTATTTTTAATAGAGTTGGAGTGTTACCATGTTGGCCAGGATGGTTTTGAACTCCTGACCTCATGATCCGTCTGCCTCGGCCTCCCAAAGTGCTGAGATTACAGGCATGAGCCACGGCGCCCAGCCAAGCTTGGTTTCTTATATACCAATCTTTAATATTGCTTATGTCATATAATATTGTATATAGCTGGTGAGTTCATTTCTATCCTTTGCCTTCAACTCAATGGCATTGTTTTGAGGGGGAAATAATGTATCTGATTTAACCAATTATACATTGGTTATTCAGCCCTGTTCACTGATATAAACAATTGGAAATTTTTAAAGATTTCCCTGAAGAGGGCATATAAGCTTTAAAATAGACTTAATCAGTTATGATAAAGGGGGGAAATTCTTCTAATGATTCATTTCAGTTTATTAAAACCATACTATTGAAACTTAAATATCAAGGGGTATTACTTTTTGAAAATGGCAATAAATTCACTAATTACTTTGGAGTCTTGGACTGATTAGAAAACATACCTATAGATTTTGCATTACGAATTTGAAAAATATAATACATTTGTTGATAATCTTTTAGGGTTTCCTGCTTGACTTGGTAAATTTTTAATTCTTGCCTCTGGTGGAGGAATGTAGTGGACCATCTCTTATTCAAAATGATTGGCAGTTTTCTTTTAGTATTTTGTTTGTTTTTAATAGAAGAGATTGATGAGAGAACTATAAAAATATCAGTCTGTTTCTTTAAATAAATGAGTTTTACTTATAAAGAGTGTTTAACCTATAAATAGTTTTGTTTTTGTTTTGTTTTGTTTTTTTTGAGACAGAGTCTTGCTCTGTAGCCCAGGCTGGAGTGCAGTGGCGCGATCTTGGCTCACTGCAACCTCTGCCTCCTGGGTCTCAGTTCAAGCAATTCTCCTGCCTCAGCCTCCTGACCTATAAATAGTTTTACATATAGTGTTTTTATAGATACTTCCTGAAAAATAAATTTAAAAATAACTAAATGTAAAGGACTGACAACAGTTCGCGTATCACATTGGCCCCTCCTTAAGTTTCTGTGCGCATTGATGATATGTATCTGTTGGTTACGAAGTCATCTCTCTCTGCCGCATTCTCAATTACTATCCATTCACCACAAGGCTCAACTACTATCCATTCTCCACAAGGCAACCAAGTCCATTTTTTTCTTTTTTTTTTTAGCAACTAAATGGGATAAATGCAGTGATAAGCAGGTAAACTGACTCTCTATAAATACAAAGCTCTGATTGTCACTTTGGAGTTTCCCTGCAAAACCTGCCAGCCCTGTTTTTTTTAAGGGACCAACATAATAACACTGAAGGCGGCGTTGGGAAGAGGTGTTCCCTGTCCATTCTTAGGAGGCAGCCTGAGTGGGCCCAGCACACACAACTGGAATTTGCTTCCTTATCTGAGCACATTGTTCTTCCACCCTTAGATTTGTTCTGCCCTTTTAAATCAGAAGAAATTTTTGTACATAACACTTTCTCAGATACTTGACGATAATCCATATGCCCTTCAGTTATTTCTCTTCCTATTTTAGCAGCCATATGTTTTACCTACTTTGGACGAACTCCATTTGGTCTTTTCTAAAGAGAGAGGACTGTACTAGATTCTCAAAGTGGCCTGATCTATGCTGGAGTTACTACATGCCCCTTGGTATAATCTGCCTATTAATGTGGCCTGTAATTTATTTTTAGGATCAATGATATGACTTAGAGAGCCATACAGTCCATTTAAACCCCAACTCTGTTTTTACAAGATATATATATATATATGTAAGCCAGTTTCCCCATTCTGTATTTATACAACTGATTGTTTTAAAATCTGTTCACTCAACGGTCTTTTATTGGGCACCCATTATGTATCATAAGGTATGAGCCCTGCTCCCAACAATCTTTCAGGTCACAGTGTACAAATATGTCCACAAGTCATAGTGCATGGATTAGGAGGTGGGCCACATGGGTTGGAATGTAGCTTATGCCATTTTGACCTTTGGTGCATTAGTTAATGTCTCTGTGCCTCAGTTCCTCTCCTAAAATGAGAAAAATTGTGTTATCTACCTCATGGGGTTGCTACAAGGGTTAAATGAGTCACCAAACAGAAATACTTACAAGAGTGCCTTGTACGTTGTAACACCCCATGATGTCAGTTGCTGGCATTGTGATTTTAACATCATCATCATCATCGTCGTCGTCGTCGTCATCGTCATCATCATCAAAGTGCTGCATCCAGGAGGCACTGTCTGCTCCCCTAGGCTGAGTCAGTAAGGCCTCTAAGCTGAGGAGAATCATAAGCTGGGAATTAAGTGATGAACAGAAGATTTCTGATTTTAAAAGGAAGGAATATTTTATGCAGATATTATAAAATAAAAGATGCAAAGGTCTGGCACTACTTTAGAATTACAATTATTTGCTGTGACTAAACAAATGGCAAAAGTGAGAATGAGGAAGGTGATACCGGGAAGAGGATGAGCCGGGTCAAACGCAGAGGGGCTTTGCACATAATCTTCGGGAATTTAGATGCTTCCTTGGATTCTGTTAATAAATACTTGCCAAGTGTCTCCTCCACAGCAAGCACTCCTGGTTCCTAGGCCTGGAGAGCAGTGGTAAGCAGGACCGGTGCGTCCCCACTTTTGTGGAGCTTTCTATTTGAGTGCAGACTTTAAGAAAACATAAGAGTTCTAGAGATGAATATGATCAGTTTGTGTCGTGGGTGTGACAGGGTGGCAGGCGAAATGGGGCAGGTGGCGGGCCACTTAGGAGACTGTAGCGTGAGACTAAGCCCTGGACTAAGGCAGGGCCAATAAAGAAGGCCATGAAGGCCAGGGCTTCATGAGAAGAGAAATCCGGGTAGAATCTCCAGGGCCAATGAATGGAGGCTGTGGTGCAGGACTCCCAGGATGCAGGAATGATGCTGAGGTTGAGGACTCTTGAGTTCCTCTTTCACTGCTCTAGCTGATCAAGCTGTTAACACAGCACCTGTCATTCTTCCGGTGATGGGTAAGACAGACAAGGTCCCTTTTCTTGTGGAGCCTGCATTCCATGTGCAAGAAGGTTATTAATGCTTTTAGTCAGAGTGCCATGAAGATAAAAGCCACGTGCTAAAAGGACAGGGCAGAAGGATAGAAGAAACTTGGGTTGCTGAGGGCATCAGGGAGCCCCCAGCCAGTTCTAGATGGCTTTTGTTTAGACTTCTTGTAACATGCGAAAAATAAACCCCAATTGGTTATACTTCTGTAGTCAGTATTCCGGTACATGCAACCAAATACAATCTTCAGGTTTAAAGCAAGTAAAGCAATAAAAATGGTAAATTTCAGTTAGTGATAAGTGCTTGGAAAGAATTAAAATAGGCTGAGGACTGGTGACACTACCTTATATTGGAAATTTAGGAAAAGCTTCTCTTGGAAGGTGAAGTTTGAGCTGAAAGCTAAAGGAGCCAGCCCTGGGAATATCTGCAGAAAATCATTCCAGAGAGAGGGAGCAAAGGACCTAGAGTGGGCATTAGGTAAGCACATGCCAAGGCCATAAGGGAGGTAAGTGTGGCTGGAAGTTGGTGGAAGCAAGGAGGCTAATTGGGAGGCTAGTCTAGGTGTTTGGGGGACGGAGCATGGGGCTTCGCTAGGGTACTAGACGTTGTAATGGAGGGACACATGTAGCTTTGTGATGTTTTAGAGGTTGTGTCAATGGGACTAGCAGATGTACGCATTGTGAGATGCAAGGGAAAGAGAAAATTGAAGTATGACACATTGATACTTGGCTATGTGAGATATAGAACTCATGTTAGATGTTGATGCCACCAGGCACAGAGGAGAGTGGAAGAAAAAGAGGAATGGGTTATTGTGGGAGGGGCAGTTCAAATAAACTTTATTTGAGAGGTTTAAGGTTTCAAATAAATTTTAGGTGGCGATCTCCAGTAGGAAGTTTGTTTATCTGTCTGTTGTTGAGGTTAGAACAGAACAGAAATATAAATTTGAGCCTCAGTGTTTGATACCTAGTGCTACCAAATAATATATAGTAAGACATTCTTCAGATAAAGCTTATTTGAGAATCTATACATACATTCTCAGTCAAGATGAGGTTAGATGTAGAATCTAAATCGAGAACTATAATAGAAATACATGGAAATTACATTAGTGACTTTGAATTTGATTAGCATGCTTGTTCTTTTGCAAGTCTGACATTAGCAATCTTGACTTCCTGTGCAAGTCAGATTTCCATTACAAGTCAAAGATGAATGAATTATATATAAACCATTGTATAAACTTTGTAGGGAGATACATATTTGTAATTGTTATTGCAAAACCCCAGGGATGGAAAACAATATGGGAATTATATGACAAATACTAGTGGGCCCACCATTCAACTTAAGAAAAATATTACAACTAAAACTGAAGCGATGGATGTACTGCTCTCTGATTGTGTTCCATTTCTTCCTTCTCTACAGAGGTAACTATTATCCTGAACTTGGGATTTGTCATTATCAACTATGTTTTTATACTTTAAAAAATACATTTATTACCCCGTCTCAACTAAAAAAAATGCAAAACATTAGCTGGGCGTGGTCTGGGGCGCCTGTAGTCCCAGCTACCCGGGAGGCTGAGGCAGGAGAATGGTGTGAACCCGCGAAGTGGAGCTTGCAGTGAGCCGAGATTGCGCCACTGCAGTCCAGCCTGGGCGACAGAGCGAGACTCCATCAAAAAAAAAAAGAAAAAAAAACATTTATTTACCAGCCTATAAGTAATATGGAATACTGCTAATTTGCATGCTTTTAAACTTTAAATAAATGATATGATGTTACCTATTGTATGCAACTGAACATATTTGTTCAATCATATTTTGAGATTAATGCGTGTTAGTGGATATAGCAGTAGGTCACCTGTGTTCACTAATGAATAGCATACCATGTGTGACATCACAATGGATTTATTCTCATGCTATTGGGAATTTAAGGTGTTTCTAATTTTTTTGCTTCACAAATAGTGCTGCACTGAACATTCTTATACAAGTCTTGTGCACAGGTATAAGACTTTCTCTAGACCAATTCCTGGGTGTGGTATTTGTGCACCAATAACTTCAGCTTTACTATTAATAGATACTAAATAATTGCTCTGCTAGGTGATCATAACAATTTAACTCCCAATTATTCACATCCTCGCCAACGTTTAATATTTTCAGACTTTTAAATTTTGAGCCTGACTGGTGTAAACTTTTCTGTCATTGTAGATTTAACTTGCATTTCTCTAATTACTTCTCAATTAAGCATCTTTTCACATTTACTATTCATTTGCATTTTGTCTTCTGAGCATTTAGTATACTTTGGCCAAACTTTCTCATGGGCCTGTGATGGTTTTAAAATGTGAATTATTTTAATGCACAATGTATATTAGTATTTTGGGGCTAACGTAGGAAACAAATAACCTGTCAACCTCTGGTTTGTCTCCTTAACTTTGATGCTGTTATTGGATGTATAAGATTTCCCACATTAATGTGGAAAACTTACTTCATCTTTGTTTATGATTTGTATCTTCTGTGTCTAATGTGAAAGTTTTCATATGTTGTGGCCTTGAATATTTTTAAAGAATATTTTTGTATACATTTTAAAGTTTTGGTTTTTGGCTGGGTATGGTGGCTCATGCCTGTAATCCCAGCACTTTGGGAGGCCCAGGTGGGCGGATCCCTTGAGCTCAGGAGTTTAACACCAGCCTGGGCAACATGGTGAAACCCGTCTCTACAAAAAAATATGAAAATTAGCCAGGCAAGCTGGTGCACCTGTAGTCCCAGCCACTTGGGGATGAGGTGGGAGGATGGCTTGAGCCCAGGAGGCAGAGGTTGTAGTGAGCCGAGATTGTGCCACTGCATTACAGCGTGGGTGACAGAGCCAGACCTTGTCTCAGAAAAAAGAAAATTAGTTTTTAAATATAGGTCTTTAACAACTGGACTTTATCTTTGTGTACATGTGCTGTCCACGCAAGATCCAGTTTTATTTTATTTTCTTCACAGGGATCACCTGTTGTGTATTCCCATGATTGAACAGTCATGCCTCATAAGGACACCTTTGACATATATATAGTTTCTATGTATACCTGGATCTATTTTGAACCGTCTACTCTGTTCTGTTTGTCTATTTGTCTTTCCCTGCACCAATACTACGTTGTTATATTACTATAGTTTTATTATAATTTGCGGTATCTGACAAGGCATTTCACATCACCCACCTTGTTGTTCTTTAGGAATAACTTGTCTTATTTTCTGAATTACAGGAAAGATAATTCTATATTGAGATTATTCTTTTGCAGTCCTTTGAAGACATAGCGTATAGCTTTTATCTTTGCTACTGGTAAGTATGCTATGAGTCTACTTGCAGTATTTTTGGAGGTAATCTGTTTCTCTCTTGCAGCTTTAGAAATCATTTCAAATCTTTGTGGTTAGTCGCTATCACATCCATGCGTTCAGCTTTGGCTTTCTTTCCGTATTCACTGTGATTCCTGTATGAGAACATTCGTATCGGTTCTAGAAAAATATACACCAGTGTCATCAAATATTGCTTCTCTTCCTTTTGCATTTTCCTCTAATTCTAGAATATAAGTTCATTATATGTTGGACTTTTTATTCCTTTTTCAGTACCTCTCACTTCCTCTCTAAGTTCTTCATCACTTTATCTCTTTGTGCTGCATTCCAGGTAATTTAATCATACCTTTCTTTTGCCCTTAGTTGTATATTCATAGTTGTACCATTTTTGGGCCATTTTGCATTCCCAGTGGCATTCAAAGAATGGATATTTCATTGATGGGTTTTCTATGTGATTCTTTTTCCAATGTCACTGCCTTTTCTGATGGAATCCTGCTCTTGTTTTATATTTCAATGTTCTTCCATTAAGTCTTTAATCATTTGAAAAATAGTAATTTAATGATATCTGTACAAAATTCTGTGTCTGTGGTTCTTAGGTAACTAATCCTGATGGTGACTGGGTGTATTGCTTCTCTCCCTTGGAAGATTATATTTTCACAAGGTTTCTGTGTTAGAATGTGAGTTCTTGGGCTTTGTGGGGCTGCTTCGTGGCAGGCTGGCAGTGTGTCTCTTCACCATAGTTTTAAGCTTGTCTCTGGCATGCAGTGTGTAACTACTTTTTTATGTTTATTTTTCAGCGTTGTGAAAAATGGACTATATAAATAGTATAAGGTTAAACCTTTTGTCGAAGGAAGAGCAGATCTCTGATTACAAACCATCAAATGTAAGGTCTAGTATCAGGTCAATAAGTTTTCTTCTACCTGTTCTGATGGGTAGATTTTTTTTTTTTCTAGTCAATCCTTTAACGAAAGTCATTGGTTTTCTAGGACTCCATTCTACATAAGGATTTTAGTTCTAATTCTCCACCTTACATGAGGCTAAGACACCCATCTCCTATGTGGCTGTGAACCATGAACCTTGAAAGCAGCAATTTGATTTTTAATTAATGAAACTTGTTTTTTAGAGCAGCAGTTCTGGGTTCACAGCAAAATTGTGTGGAAATTGTGGAAAATTCTCAACCTCATTCCCTTACTTACACACAACCTCCCCACTATCAACATTCCCACCCCCATCCGCCAGTGGTACATTTCTTTTCTTTTCTTTTTTTTTTTTTTCTTTGAGACAGAGTCTTGCTCTGTCACCCAGGCTGGGATACAGTGGCGTGATCTCGGCTCACTGCAACCTCCACCTCCCGGGTTCAAGCAATTCTCTGCCTCAGCCTCCTGAGTAACTGGGATTACAGGCCCCCATGACCACACCCGGCTAATTTTTTTGTATTTTTAGTAGAGACGGGATTTCACCATCTTGGCCAGGCTGGTCTTGAACTCCTGACTTAGTGATCCACCTGCCTCGGCCTCCCAAAGTGCTGGGATTACAAGCGTGAGCCACCACGCCCGGCACACCCCCAGTGGTACGTTTCTTACAACTGGTCATTGACACATCATTGTCACTCAGAGCCAGTCCTCTACATTAGGGTTCACTCTTGGTGTTGTACATTCTAGGGCCTGGACAAATGTTTAGTGACATGGATCCAACACTGTAGGATTGTGCAGTCTTTTCACTGCTTTAGAGATTTTCTGTGCTCTACCTCATCACCCATTTCTTCCCTCTACCCTGAGCAACCGCTGATCTGTTTACCCTTTTTATAGCTGTGCCTTTTCCAGGATGTCCTATAGATAGAATCATAAAGTCGCCTCTTCATATCGCCTTCTTTCACTTGATAATCTTCATTTAAGTTTCTTTTGTACCTTTCATGGCTTGGTCACATATATCTTTTTTTGCATTGAATGGCGTTTCCTTGTCTGAATGGAATGTACCACAGTTTATTTATCTGTTCACCCTATGAGGACACGCTGGTTGCTTCCAAACTTTGGCAATTA
The DNA here is from genome assembly GCF_000001405.40 of Homo sapiens. NCBI lineage: Eukaryota > Metazoa > Chordata > Mammalia > Primates > Hominidae > Homo > Homo sapiens. The sequence goes on along the minus strand of NC_000006.12, from coordinate 162,423,973 downwards.
TGAACAAAGCTACTATAAACATCTGTGTGTAGGTTTTTGTGTGGAAATAAATGTTCAGTTCAATTCATCACTTTTAGAATGGCATAAGCATCACCCTTGTCATTAGGCATTCATCTAAACACTCAGGGTGGTTATTTTTATCCAGTGGGTAGGCACTGGATAAATATTTGTTGAATAAATGAATAGACATTATTTAGTATAATTAATGGTCTCTTCTATAAGGTACCATGTAGCAGTGGCTGAATTGATTTAACGTCTTGAAGTCTTCATCAATTTCTGATGACGACCAGTTCCTAGAATTAGAAATTCACCTCTAAGTGGTAAGAGAATAGAGGAAACCAGTGGGTTGTAACTGCAAAGATACCACAGATACTGACATTTGCATCACACTCAGCAGATTATATACTCAAATGAGGTTTCTCCTACTCCCTGTCATTGTGTGTGATAAGGCAATCATGAATAAAATCTCACACAATGAAGCTGAAGATTGTCCCTGAGTTATATAGCACCTAAACTTTGTCTAGATGTCTTACAAAGGAAATAAAAAATGAAAGAGGAAAAGGGAAGGAAGGAGGGAAGGTGGAAGGGAGGGAGGAAGGCCAACTGTATTTCTAGGATTGGGGAATTTCCTAGTATAATTTCCATCTTAGATCTGCCATTTTCATCATGGCCAGAGTTAGTCACTCTGTCATCTCCTTGTTGTTCATTACCTCAACACTTAGTTCTAGTTACTGATGTGTACATATATAAAGCCAGACATCTGTAAGTGCTTAGTTGAGAAGGTGTAGATGGAATCCAAGAGTATCTAGGAATGTAACCCCAGGATGGTTAGGGTAATGTCTTTATTCAGTTACATTTTTATATGTAAGGGAAATGATTGTCTATTCCAATTCAGATTTCTTTGTAATATTAATATGTACTATAGAAGCAATGAAAGGCAAAGAATCCAGAAAGCGACTAGAAGAATAATCATTTTTACTTTCCTTCTTATGATGCTTTTTTTTTTTTTTTTTTTTTTTGGTCTCTTGGAGATGGAGTCTTGCTCTGTCGCCCAGGCTGGAGCGCAGTGGCGCGATCTCGGCTCACTGCAACCTCTGCCTCCCGGGTTCAAGAAATTTTCTTGCCTCAGCCTCCCAAGTAGCTGGGACTACTGGTGCACGCCATCATGTCCAGCTAATTTTTTTGTATTTTAGTAGAGACAGGGTTTCACCATGTTGCCTGGGCTGGTCTCGAACTCCTGAGCTCAGGCAATCCGCCCGCCTCAGCCTCCCAGAGTGCTATTATTACAGGCGTGAGCCACTGCACCCAGCCTCCTTCTTATGACTCTTAATGTCCTATAAGCCATTTTTAAAAGTAGCAGATACCTGAGCCCTCTCAATTATCCCCAGTTCTTACTCGTAAAGAACTCTGTGACCCAAAGTCATTTTTTAAAAGTACCACTAATATTGGGATGTGCAGTCAAACCTGCTGTATTCTGGACCTTCCCTGCCCTGTGAGAGCTCTACATGCAAGACCCAAGTAAGGCTGTCAGCTCATGTGCAGTGGCATAAAAACTACCATGTGATACTGTTTCATGCTGTGGCCAATGCATTTCTATCAATGATGCATCACTGGCTTGACAGCAATGTTACTGTTGTATACTAGGGGCAGGTAAATTTTTCTAGCAGAAATGGTATTTGGACCAGAAGTTTTTATATGAAGAATTTGATTAAAGAAATATTATTAAGTAGCCCTTCTTTCTAAATATACTTTCATGCTAAAACAAAATAACTCAGAAAATATGAAAACAGAACTCTAGAACTCTTTGAAGTTAGCAAGTAAAGCATACATACATGGTGTCTTAGTAACTGTTTCCATTATGCAGATTCTAAGAATCTTTCCTGGACAAGACTAAAGAATTCCCAGTGGCAAACCATGATCTGCTGCTCAGCTCAAATTGTGGGTCCCAGAGCAGCCATATGTGATAGTTACTTGTAATTAAGGACTTCATCTAAACTTGAAGATAAGCTTTCCTTGCTGAAATTAGATATTACTTCCTATTTAACTTATTTAGATAAATTATTTTTATTTTATAAATAGAATACATACTTTAATAGTTTAGTAGAATATCTCTTAATTTTGTAGCTCCTTCAGTCAATACCTTTGCATTCCTATTTTATATTGCATTATATTAATAGTTACTGGTCAACATTATGTAATGATGTTCCTGAGTCCTTTAGTGTCTTTGCCTTACTTACTTGATTCTCCTTGTTTGCAGTAGACTGTTGCTGTTTTCCTGTAATGCGTTGTTCTTCTCCTGTTTATTTATACTATCTAGCAAGGCCATGGAGGAATTTGGTAGACATTTGTTAATGAGTAGCTAGCCATCCTGAGTTAATAGACAATGATATGAATTGATGGACTCATTGAGAAGGTGCCATATTGTATCATTTCTGATTACAAATAAACCAAAAAATTGAACTAAGAGTACATAATAGGTTAACATTTCATGTAGCTAAATTAAGAGAGGCCAAAATATCAAAGGGAAAGTTGAAAGTCACAAGGAACCACCCTGGGTCTTAGCTCCATCAACTGTGTCTCATGGGATGGCAGGTAAATTAGTTATTGTTCTTAACAGCCTAGATTCTTTACTTGAGAAGACAGGGATAATAAAAATCAGGATAACATCTGATCTTCAGGGCGCTGTGAGGGTAATAATGTTAGGCAAGTATCCAGAGAGTGCCTGGCACAAAACAGCCACGCAGGTGCTGCCTGTTGCTTCCTTCCTGATGGAGGGTTATTGATAAACATCGTGCATAATAAGATTTCCAAGTAAGCCTGTTTCCTCTCAATTATTAATGATTACCTGGAGTTCTGTTAAGGAGAATCAGAGATCTCTGGACATGAGTTTGGGTCATAAGAAAGCGGTGGTGAGCTGTGGCTGGCAAGCCTGTGCTCACAGGGAGGATGTGTGAGTTCAATGCTAGCTTCTCTTGGGGCAGACGTAAGGCATTTGAGCTCAGTCTTTCTTTGAGCTCGACTGTATCGCTTGATTTAGGTTTGCTGTTCTGGTTTTTAAAATTTAGTAATAGAGAAGAGAGTACATAAGTAGAAGACCAAAACTGTATTGTTACCAGAGTTCCAACCGCTGCTGACTTTTCTGGCTCTACAAAAGAGGTAAGCCGTTAAAACTGTAAGTGTCCCCATCTTTTTCCTGCTTATCTCTTAGTGAGTAATAATTTTGCTTCTTACACTTTTTATGTCTCTGAGCTACAGAGTCATAGCTACAAGTCCTTCATTCATCCCTGAATTTTAATTTAATGTAGTATTTATGGGTGTTAGCTTTTAAAAATAATACCATATTACTCCTCAGAACATTTGCCATGGGCTGTCTGTATCCGAATCTCCTAGAAAGGAGATGGGAAGGTTGTTATAAATGCAGTTTTAAGAGTTCCACTGGGCAGGGGCTCCCCTGAAATCTCCCTGACTCTGCTGGCTGGATGCAGGCAATCTGCACTGTTAGCAGCTCTCCAGGGCACTGTTATGCATGCTCAGATGTGAAACCCTCGGATCTAGATTTTCCAACTTGCACTCATTCCAAGATGGCAGCAGGACAACCTTTTAACTAATAGAAGACAAAGGATTCAATGTGATTAAATTTGTGCCTAAAATTTTGATCTCAGGCTATGGTATTTTAAACATAATGCTTTACACCAGGAGTCCCCCCTCCCCGCCATTGTGAAATGTACATGTGAAGAATCTAGGTTGCACGCTCCTTATGAGAATCTAATGCCTGATGATCTGTCACTGTTGCCCATCACTCCCAATGAGACCATCTAGTTGCAGGAAAACAAGCTCACAGCTCCCACTGACTCTACATTATGGTGAGCTGTATAATTATTCCATTATATATTACAAAGTACAAATAATAGAAATAAGGTGCACAATAAATGTAATGCGCTTGAATCATCCTGAAACCATCTCCCTGCTCCAGTCTGTGGAGAAACTGTCTCCCACGAAACCAGTCCCTGATGCCAAAAAGGTTGGGGGCTGCTGCTTTCCACTGTAATTTTCTAAAATTTTCCCAAATCAGGAGGGAGGATAGTAAGTAATCATTTCATGTTGTGCAAAATATTCCCTGGTCCAGCAACTTTCTAAAATGGTTCTCTCTCTCTCTTTCTCTTTCTCTGTCCCTGTCCCTGTCCCTGTCCCTGTCTCTGGCTCTGTCTCTATCTCTGTGTCTGTCTCTCTCTCTCTGTCATTATAGGTCATGGATGTTTATATGAGAATATTTCAAATACCAAAAAGCATTTTTCAAAAAGTAAAATCCCCCTAACCTCACCTCCCATAGATGCTCCATCATATATTTCACTTGGGAGCGTTGTGGGCACTGTGGAGTTCCAGGGCTAGGACTGGGCTGCAGAACCAACTTCCTGGGTTCCAGCTTGTTGACCCTGCACCTGCTGGCTCAACCTTAGTGTGCCTCAGTTTCTTCATCTGAGCAATGAGAATAGTAAATGTCTTATTCTTGTACATTTATTTATTTATACACCTCATAGTGTTTTTGTGAGGACTGACCACATGCATGTAAACGTCTTCTTAAGCTCAGTTGATTTTAGCTATTATTATTAATCACACATCTTATAATAAAGTTGAACACTTTGCAATATAATCAAAACAAAACTATTTTCATCTCTCACCAGCCTTTTGTTGAGGAAGAGCAATTTTTCCCTGTCCCTGGATGGGAAATCAGAAGGTCCCCTGACATTTTTATTCACTCTTTAACAAACTTCCTTACAGGTACTAGAAGTCACAGACATAGTCTTAAGGATGTAATTAGAACATCCAAGCCAAGACAATAATACGAACGTCGAAGTTAATTTGATGTTGGATCTTCTTACCAACACCCCTCCCACCCCTGCCGCCCCTGCTTGCACCTGCTTTTCCTGGAGCCTAAGGAAGGAATGGGCTTTGTCTCTGGTTCTTTGCCTTGCCTACCTGTATGTTCCCTTGTGCCTGCTTCCCAGTTTGTGACACCTCCAGGGTTGGGGGGTGGGACTGGGTACAGGGTGGGTCCTTGTCCTGGTGCCCCACACCCTCGCAGATGATTCTAGCTGGCTTCTCCCTCCCCTCCTCCTGAGAAGGGGCTTTTGGGGGCTGCAGTGGTCTGCTGACAGGAGCCCTCCCTGCAGCTCCCCTGGTGCAGGCAGGAGTGCCCTGGGTGTGCTTGGATTCCTTCATGAGTGTGCAGGAACCGTGCACACCATCAGCCACTGGGTCCATCTGCCCTCCTAATGGGTGTTTTCCACAGGTTCCAGCCATCCCCCCCCTCAACACACACGCATACACACACACACACACACACACACACACACACACACTGTCTGTCCCTCTCTCTTCATCACTTTTTCGTGGAGCCTACATCTGAAGCTCCAGGAACACTCCAATTCTTGTTCTGCAATCTCTTTGAGTGCTGGCCTCAACTTTGTTGATATGCAGTCCACATGCTATGCACTTCACCCATTTAAGCATACCATTCTATGGTTTTTAGTATCTTGGGAGCGTTTTCACTCCACCACCACAATCAATTTCAGAACACTTTCATCAACCCCAAAAGAAAACCTCATACTCAGTAGCAGTCATTCCCTTTTCTCAGTTCCTGGCAACCATTAATTTACTTTCTGTGGATTTGTCTATTGTGGACATTTCATATAAATGGAATTACACAATATATATCTTTTTGTGATTGCCTTCTTTCACTTAGTACAATGTTTTCAAGTTTCATCTATGTCATAGCATGAATCTGCACTTCATTTTTATTGCCAAATAATATTCCATTGTATGTATGTACCATATTTTATTTATCCACTAATGAGTTGATGGACATTTGGGTTGTTTCTACTTGTTGAGTATCGTGAATGATGCTACCATGAATATTTGTGTGCAGGCTTTTGTATAGGCCTATGTTTTTACTGCTCTTGGGCGTATACCTAGAGTAGAATTGCCGGGTCATGTGGTAAAATGTTTAGCTATTTACAGAACCCTCAGGCTGTTTTCCAAATGCTTGTCTATATTTATTGTGCTTCATATCAGTAATCAAGAGTTCATGGAGTATTGAAAAGTCTACTATGAAGGTGAAGAGGTGGAAGAAATGTGATGATCACGTTCACACTTAGGTCTTGGAAAACCTGCCACGTGGACACTAACTCTTGATTTCTCAACAGAAGACCCGTAAACACGTTCATGAACTGAGCTAGAAACCGAAAGCCATAAACGTTAACGGACATTATCTGGGAGAAGTGTTGTTACACAGTCGGGCACAGGGAGGTTCCCTGCTATGTTCCATTTGAGAGCGCTTTAATTTCAAAGGGTACCATCTGGCCCTCAGTGCTTGAACTACTTGTGGCTTTAAATGCAGGGTTTTGCTCATTAAAGCAGGTCACTCATATTTTGAATCAGAAAATGACATTTAAGTTACTCCTTTTCTACTTTACATATGTCTCCCTTCAGCTTCTGGTCATCTCTCACTCTTCCTCAGTCTTCTGCCCCCACAGCTGCCAGCATGTGATGGTGTGAGTGGCCTGGCATGTTTTGCAGGATGCAGATCCCCTCAGGGGATGCCCGGCTGCCGGGGGCAGGAAAGGCAGCGACCCCTAGCTCACAGTCAACGCGTGGCATCAAGAGTGCTATAAATGGAAAAATACAGAGATGGCCCTGTCCTGGCTTTGATTTAGAATTTGGCATGTTTCCTTTTGCACTTTTGAAAAAAAGTCACGACTTTTTACTAGGATGGGTAGGTAGTTTGTATCACAACTATGGCCACATTTGCCATCATTATGAAAATAAAAAATAAAAACTCCTTGGAGTTTCAGTAATATTGTTTGCATCTCTTACCCTGTGTTGTTTGATTGTCTTCACAGCCCGCATCTGTTTAATTCAAATTATGCACATGTCTCTCTGGACTCTAATTTCCTCCAGCTGTTAGGATGCTGGAGCAGAAGAGCTATAGATTTAAAACAGCTGTTTAGTTAGGAGAACTGCTTTGTGTTTAGTTTAAGACTGAACCATATATTTCAAACACATTCTTATCCATTTTTAAATAAAAAATTTCTTTAATTGATTATTAAGTTGATTCATTTTAGTATATTTTCTGTGTACAGAATTTAAGGATGTACATCTTTACTCAAATTTTCATTTTAGAAATAGAAAAATGAGATAAAATGCTTTGTAGAAATGTAAAATATTGTCTGTCCCCAATCACGTGTCAGTAAGTAGGTAAGTTATTAAGAAAAAGAGCAGAAAGAAAATAATTTGAGAATATAGTAAATATACTTTTTATTTAACTACAGGAATAGTCTAGAAACCAAAAATGGTGGAGAAAACTGATTGATGATGTTCTGCCCACAAACTACACACAGAAAAATTCTTACAGCCTGGCAGCAGGTTTAATTGAATTTATCAAAATGCTTCCAAATAAAATATACTTACTCAGCAACTTGTAAGGAATATGAAAAGGAGAAGGAAGGAAATCTAGTGACTTTGCTTCCATCCTACCTCCAGAAACATAGTTTTCTTCTTGGCACAGACCGAATAGACTTGATCAGAATAATTAACCATCCTTACCACCTCTTAGCAAAGGACAGACTTCTTGACAGCTAAAGCTGCTCTGCTACGATTATCTTGAATGTCACCAGGTAGAGGTGGGGTCTGGGGGATTCAAATGGTGGGAAAATATGGAAAGCACTTAAATGAGGATTTAAAAAATATATTATTTAGGAAAATAGGACAGAATGTGCAAACAAATACTCACCCTCGACAATTTTGTCATTGTTATGGCAGTGGTATAAATGGAAACCAAGGGCCATTAGCACAAATGTCCACAAGTGCCAGGCCGGTATTTTAAAGCATGATACTGGAGGTCAAATATTGGAAAGTAGTGGAGCCACTGAGAACTGGAGATGGCATGCCTGATTTAAAGACATCACAATTTTTAAATGATTAAAATTCAGTGCACTAAACAACAGAATTCAGCGTTTTGCAGTCTTTCAAATGGAGAGATGCCTATTAACGAGTGTTGCTGAGTATTACCTATGAAGATCTCCCATTAGTCAGAATAGTCTGAATAATATATTCTAAAAATACATTTCTTTATTTAAATTTGAGGTTGTCTTAACTTTTTTTGAGACAGTCTCACTCTGTCACCAGGCTGGAGTGCAGTGGCGCAATTTGGGCTCACTGCATCCTCTGCCTCCCGGGTTCAAGCGATTCCCTTGCCTCAGCCTCCCAAGTAGCTGGGACTACAGATGGGTGTCACCAGGTCCAGCTAATTTTTGTATTTTTAGTACAGACGGGTTTCATCATGTTGGCCAGGATGGTCATGATCTGTTGACCTTGTGACCTACCCGCTTCACCCTCCCAAAGTGCTGGGATTACAGGTGTGAGCCATGAGCCTGGCCTTCTTAACTTCTTAATTACCTCTTAATCACATATCACTAAGTGTTGAACAGCTACTCTTAAAGTAGGAAGCTTTCACCATAAAGATATTTAGATACATGAGTGATACTCTTCACACGATCTGTTTCTACCTTTTGAAGATTTGGCAATTTCAGCTGCCTTTATTGAATTCATTATCTGCCCTGTGATACTTGATTGCCTCCACACAATTGCTGCATTTCGGTGCCACATTGTGTCTTCTGTTTGAACACATTTAAACAAAGTGGTGTGACACTCGTGTTAAAATTTAAATAGTTTCTAGTGTTACCAGTCCAAATAACTTTCCCCAGTTGGCTATTTTTGCGTAGGCACAACCAATTGTAGCTACGCTAAGTCTATTACGCAGGGTTGCCGGCAAGGTGAACCTGGAATTGATGGTTCTGCCGCATCTTCGATTTCAGAAACATTCAGAAGTGAAGGAAGTAGAATCCTATTGTTTTTGAAGAGGTGTTGTTTACTAGCATTTTGCCATCTCTCAGAAATCAGTGAAAATTTTAACTGTTCCTTAGCATCAGATATCTTAATTTTCTTAAATAAAAGAACAGAAATTTTACTGGTCTGTAAAATCATAAGTTTGGGAACAAGTTATAAAAATATACAGTGCCTCCAGTGATAGAAAATCCGTTCCTTTGTAAGGCAGCCTAATTAATAGATGGACATCAATGATAATCAGTTTTAAGAATGCTCACTATATATATGTCATCTTTACACTTTCCATTCTGATTATTTTATTCTATCCATAGATAGCATTATTTTAAAACTTCAAAGATTCACTTTTTTTTTTTTTTTTTGAGACGGAGTCTTGCTCAGTTGACCAGGCTGGAGTGCAGTGGTGCGATCTTGGTTCACTGCAACCTCCGCCTCCTGGGCTTATGCCATTCTCCTGCTTCAGCCTCCCGAGTAGCTGGGACTACAGGCACCACCAACCATGCGCGGCTAATTTTTTTTTTGTATTTTAGTAGAGATAGGGGTTTCACCATGTTAGCCAGGATGGTCTTGATCTCCTGACCTCGTGATCCAGCCGCCTTGGCCTCCCAAAGTGCTGGGATTACAGGTGTGAGCCACCACGCCCGGCAGATTCACTACTTTCTAATCTTCATGGTCATCATAACACCTGTAGACAATGATGCCTTGTCCTAACAGCCGTTCAAACCTGCTTGTCCTTACCTAACACAGAGATTAGCTTAAGATAAAAGCAAGAGTAATCTGGAATCAGTCATCACCCTTTTAAAGTTTTGTTTGTATTATGGAGCAGTAAGTTCTGTGCATTTCCTAAAGCCAACAGCTCTGTATCTGAAATCTTTTTTGTTGTTATTGTTGAGACAGAGTCTCACCCTGTGGCCCAGGCTGGAGTGCAGTGGCATGATTTCAGCTCACTGCAGTCTCCACCTCCCAGGTTCGGGCAATTCTCCTGCTTCAGCCTCCCGAGTAGCTGGCATTATAGGTGCCTGCCACTACACCTGGCTGATTTTTTGTATTTTTAGTAGAGACAGGATTTCCCCATGTTGGCCAGGCTGGTCTTGAATTCTTGACCTCAAGTGATCCACCTGCCTCAGCCTCCCAAAGTGCTGGGACTACAGGCGTGAGCCACCGCGCCCAGCCTGTATCTGCAATCTTGAGTTTGACATTGCCCTTAGGGCCCAGCATAGCAGCCTGCCTGTGTCTGTGCTTTCTCCCTAACCCCCAGCTTGAAGCTCCAAGTGCCGATTCTGGACTAGATGAAACTATTAAAATAGGTGATGTCTATGGTCTACTCCTTAAGGCAAAAAACATGAAAGAATAACATGACTGGAAATGTTGAAACTTTTAATTTAATTCCTAAATTGAATAAAATCCAGTGAAAATAGCGGCAATGTTAGAAGACAATAGAATGGTGATTTGCACAATAGTTTTTTGAATGAAATGGAAAAAAAGGAAATGAGTAGAGATCCAAAAGTGAAAATACAGATAATGTTTGGCCCTAAACCAACTTTTGTTGCCTTTTGTTCTTGTTTCATTTTGTCAGTAATACCTTGCTATCTAATTAGTTACTATCTGAGGCAGCTTATTAACTTTTTTCTATTTTCTTCCTTTCTATATTTCACAAATGTTTCAAGAATCTCATTTGTCTCTTTCCCCCTGCATAGCTACACAACGCAAATATGTAGACCGCTCCCTCATAACTCATGCTTGTAGCTCCATAAATCATTTACTCTTGCAAGCTGTGTGTCGTGGTCTGAAGCTGATGGGGCTTCTTCATTTGTTCTGACTCCAGGATATTAAGGACTGAGAAAAACAACAATAAAAAAAACAGACTGTACAGAGAGTTTTTAGTCTTTTAAAGCCAATTATATAGGCATGAAATGTTGAAATATTTGATATGGGCTTCAGACCAGACTGGTCTTACCTATTACTGCACAGAAGAAGCCCCCAATTTTCATATTTAAGAAATTTTTGCTTAAGAAATGAAACATTCCAGAAATTATTTTCATGTTTTCATGGTATCAGGTTTATCACACAAACATATCACAATACATTGCCAGAGATAAATTCATTAAACTGTGTTTAAGAGACCACTAGTCTCTTATTGTTTTGAAAGTTTAAAAAAATGTTTTAATGCAAAACAAGTTGGCTCTTTTTTTCAGTCCTGTAATGTCGGCACCTTTGTATATCCCATCTATACAAAAGTAATCCAAATATGGATACTTGTATTTCTTATACAAAACATAATTTACCCAGTTATAAGCTTACAGTTCTCAAGCTCAATTTTTTTCTTGTTGGTGATAAACAAAAGATAAGCAGTAAAATTTAACTTGCAGTTGAGCTTTGAAGAAGAGCTCTCTGTCAAGTATCAGGTTTTAGAAAGCACAGTTGTATTTAATGTGTCATTGTACATATTTGTAGTGTTGGGAAGGGAAATTCTTTTAATTTAAAACATTCAAAACCAAGAAGATGGAACTTTTTCTTATGATTGCTGGAATTCCATGGAAAATAGGATAATATAAGTTAGTTAAGTAGCCCTTACCCCGTGTTGTTCTTCTGCTTGTTTGAATGTATACTGGATTGCTATGAAGAACAGATTTTCATCGCATAGGGAGGCGGTGGCTTAGGTGTCCACAGTGAGTCCCGTAGTCCCCACTTCCTGTGGGTGACATCTTTGTTCCATTTGTTATTCATCGTACCCTAGAATCCTCAGTCCAGACACCTTCTAGATTGAGCCTTGCTCTAGATATGCCATCCTCACGGTAGGATATGACACAAACTCAGCAATTTGCTTTGTGCAGTTCAACTCCAGAAATTTACTTTGAGCCCCTTGGCATGTCATTTATCGTTCCAATATTATGGCAGTAATGTGAACAACTGTAAATCATTTGTAGCAGTGCTATGGTGTTACTTTTAGTAGGTTCATCTTACTATTCTGTTTTTAAGTAAATTAAGATCTCATTTTGCAAACAACCTGCTTTCTGTGATTGTTGTTTTCCAGATCAGAAAAAAAAAAATGCCTCTCAGCTGTGACCAAAGAAATACTATGGTTTTCTTTATGGGAAATTTCTTTCTCAATAGTTGGACATTGTGTTTAAAGCAAAGGGAGTTCCAGGATCTAAAGAAGTATCAGGGTTGATAGATTCAAATTTCTAATATAGGAAACATTTTTTAGTGTTTTTAAAGTAATTTAAATGTGGTGGGGTGAGGTGGGGATGTGAGCCTGAGGAGGTTAGAGGAAAAAGACGGTGGCCCTTGAAAGGTACTCAGTTTGCTTCAATGGTTATATTTGTCTCCAGTCTCCTAATAATTATAGTTAATAAAAGTGATAAGGGATTTTTAAAAATTATAACTATATTCAAAGAAAAACCTGATCCTTAATTGTAATTTTTTCTGGATTGTGTATTTTTCATTGCCAAATTTATACAACTTTTCTTACAGGTGGTATTTAAATGACAGTGATATTTAAAATGGATTATTAAATAATAATATTATGTTTTTGCTTCTGTAATTTATCACACACATTGCACAGTTGACAAGTGTCATCTCCAACAGTATTACAGTCCTCCTTGGGGGAGAGGAGAAAACCTAACATCTGTTACATGATGTTAAGCTTCATTTAACATTCCTTGTTTCTTATACTGTGCTGTCTAAGTGGTCCATCTTTTGTCTAGAAAGTAAATTTGTTAGTGATTCATGGTCATTCCGGTATAAGAGCTACACATGTATCTCAAGGTTTACTGTTATCAGAAGATACCTTATTTTCCTAATTAACCTAGTCACTTCTTGTAAAGTAGGATTCAAATGCTTGTCTTGAAATCCATTTTTAAATGCCTGACAGATATTTTTTGAGTTGCCATTTAATTTTTATCTTTTAAAACATCCCTGCAACGTAACCTTTTTAAAAGTAAATTCCACCATATTTCTCTTTAAATAGATTATTGTAATTTAAAATAACATGTCGCTGTAGGTAGATCACTGTGAAACCCCAAAGGACTATATGAATATGTTCATTTCTCTCCTTTTCATTTTTGTATGAGTCTGTATCAATACCCCAAGATTTAAGGAGAGACACCAGAAGAATCATTTTCAACTTTGCTCCATTCAACAATGAAATAAGCTAAAGTATCATTTCCTTTCCCTGTCACCTCCTTCTTCCCTGTCACAGTCCTCATCCTCATGAGCCTTAAATTCTGCTGATTTGGGCAGAGGAGAGGCTTCCTTGAATCTGAACGCTTTTCAGCTCCTCAGGTGATAACAGAAGCCAAACTCCAAGATAGTGGAGCAGATCACTAAGGAAAAGCCTCCTGGATGAGAGTTGGCAAGAATGTGTTTTGAAGTGGAATCACAAAAGGGGCATGGTTTGAGAAGCAGCCTGTAAATGACAGGGAAAAATTATCTTCACTTTCAATCACCTCTGCTCTCCTTTCCTCATTGGTATGCATTGTCCACTCCTCTGAGGCAGGCTTCCTGACAGTAGAAAAGAAAAACAAAAGGAGGCTTTTCAGCAAGGGGGACAGACACAGCCCTTGCTTTCAGTCGAGCGAAATTGGAAAGGGCATTCTCCCCCTTCTTCCCCAAGGGAGGCAGGAGGAGACCCGGCTAGATGGAGGGTGTGGACTTTCCATGTGAATCGTTAGCTGTTTTTCAGTGGCACATTTTTTGGATATGCTTTTAGGTCTGTTTCTGGATTCAGCTTTGAAAACTATCCAATGGGGGCAAACTCTGGTCAGGGTGGGGAACTGAGGATCTCTTCCCCCCATGGGGGCAAAGAATACTTCCTGGGGGCCAGAGCAGTCCTCAAACCAATTGATCTCCAGCTGGAAAAAAAAAAAGATTTTATTCTTTGCAAGTCTCTCAGCAGGAGCAGAAAAAACAGCAGGGTGGTTTTCATTCACAGGAACCAGGCATTCACAGATCTCTACAGAGAAATGTTAGAGAAGGCCTCTAAAAACAAAAATGCCTAGATTGTGCAGCTGATCTATTATTTTATTTTCATTGATAATGTTATTTTGTTAGCCATGCTGAGTCGATGAAAGCTGCTGTATTGAAAACTTTTTTCACTGGTGGAAATAAAATCAGCTTATCTTATTTCTTCCCTTTTAAACAGCATGGTTGCACATATCCCGTGAAAAGAAAATGTCACACTGATTCCGCTGCTCCCATGTGACTGAACTACTTGGTAAAAAAGTTGGTTTTACTTGCTGTGGGATTGATTTTAAATTCGTCTTTGAATTATCTTCTCTGAGAGCTGTTTCTAGTTAGTGTGTTGAGAATCCCACTTGAGGTATTAATTTCATCCTACATGATGTAGTTTAAACAAACCAAATATTTTGTGCTTGGGCTTGAAAGAGGTAAATATTAAATTTATAACTAGTAATACAACTTTAAATTATATGCTTGATAAAATACTGAATACGTTAGTGTTATTAAAAGGATATGTTCAATCTCATGATTCTATTTGCTAATATTCTATCATGTTTGATCTACAAAATTGGCAATTTCATGTGGTTCAACCCATATTGATAATCATGCAAAAGTGCATGGGGTGAGGGTGGGGTGTGCTACAGAAAAGGGAGAGGGGTCTGGGCGTGGTGGTGCACACCTGTAATGCCAGCATTTGGGGAGGCCAAGGCTGGATGATCACTTTAAGCCAGAAGCTTGAGACCAGCCTGGGCAACATAGTGAGACCCCCTCTCAAAAAAAAATATGGCAGGCATGGTAGAGCACACCTGTAGTTCCAACTACTCAGGAGGTTGAGGCAGGAGGATCGCAGAAGCCCAGGAGTTTGAGGCTGTCATGAGTTATGATTGTGCCACTGCACTCCAGCCTGGGCAATAGAGTGAGACACTGTCTATAAAAAAAAAATACAAAAGAAAAGAAAAGGGAGGGAGTTACTATTCCCAGAAGAAAGGAAGAATGGAAGGTACACCACAAAAGCAGATGCACATTACCCCATCTATGCAAATCGTTCCTTTATTTGTGAAAGAAACCCAGGGAGCCTGTGTGTGGTTGGAGACAACAGTGTCAGAGAGACAGGGGGAGTGGGAGAGGCAGGGATGGAAGACAAGGAGCGGGGAGGGGAGGAGAAGGCAGAGGGAAAGCTGGGAGGGGAGGGGAAAGTGAGGTGAAGAAGAGGGGAAGGAAGAGGCAGAGGATTCATTATAATCATTTACGAAGAATGAAGAATGAGAATCAACTAGAATAAAAATGAGAGATGCTTAGAGTAAGAATATGTGATTGTGTCCATGGTGAAGATGAGACATGAGCTTCAGGAGCTTCCAGATTGTTTAGATGATGCTAAAATGTAAATAGTAATCTATGGGATCTTTACCAAAAAAGAAACTTTCCACCCCTAAGCATGTTTGCCAAAGTGCCTAGGACTTTATAGTCAACTCTGTATGTGTAAATTGCTTCCACAAGAACTTATTTCTCACTATCTCTTTAGTGTAAGTTAGTGGTACGTTTGCAAATTATGGATAGAATATAGTGGTTTAAAGGCCTTGAATGACCTAGCAATTTGAAAACAACCTATTCTGCTTTAGAGATGTACCCTAAACCTGGCTTTCAAGAATACATACCACTTGTAATAATTCCTCTCAAAATCATATTGAGGGCATTTTGTGAGTGCTTCTTTGAATTAACCTGTATTTTCAAAATGTTCTTGGTACAACTTTGACAGACATTCTTCTGGAAGTCTTATTTTCACCTAAGCAGTCACTTAAGCTTTTGTTTTGTTTTTTTTTTCTGAATATAGTTGGGAAATTTTAGAGGAGACTTGCATATTACCTTTTTCTGATAATTGCTGCAACTTTATGTAAGTACCCCGACTAGTAGCAGATATGTTTCTAATGGGATATTATATTTATTTTCATAAGATCCATGTGACTACTAATGAGGGAATCAGCAGGATGACAAAACTGGTTCAAAAGAAGATATGAGAGTAGGAATTTTATATAGTCAGATGAAAAAGAAATGCTGAAATAAAATTGAAAAGATGTAGATATCATAGTGGCTAATTTATTATCCTACTGGATAATAAAACTTTTTAACTTGATAAAAATATTAGTCATCTGATTTTATCACTTTTTTTTTTTAAATTAGGAACCCAAACTTTAAAATGTGTAAAATACCTGGGCCCAAATGAATAGAAAATGTAGTAAGTTTAACCAAGTTACATTTCTCTAGAGAGTTCAAGGAGATTTAGTGAGCTTTGCTCTAGCAAGACATTAACACATCAGTCGTTTTTTTCCTTATTTCACATTTTGAGTAATTTTTCTTAATAATAATGCCATCTATTTGGGGAAGTAAAATTGTGAAAGTATTTTATACCCTGTAACTGTGTCAGTCATTAGCCCTTCATTCACATTTTAATTATGACTAGCAGGTGATAAGAATTGAGATCTGATTCTTTGTTATGTAATAATTTTAAGACAATTACATGGAAGACAGTTGTGATTGACTGTCTTAAGCATTGAAGTTGACGCATGAAATCAGATGGTGAGTTTGGGGCCTACTGGTTGTTTGATTTTAATGGGTAGTGATCTTCAGTTGACACATCTGCTACAATGAACTTGACATTTGCAATGATAACATATCAGCACACTTAATTACTATATTACATTTGTTTTCACGATGTGGGAGGCCAACCAAAGCTACTGTTTTATGAATAAAGCCTCTTTGTACAACGTTATGAAAGGCTAAACTGAAAATAACTTGGAGTACATCAGGAGCAACAGAGGTCTGCTGGTGAACAGTTTCCCTGGACAATGTTACCCCCTGGCATTATTTAGCTGAAGCTTCAGTTACCTCTTAACAGCTCTACTTCAATCAGGTCAACATCTAGCACCTTTGTATTAGATAAAAGTATTTTAAGTGAGTGAGGGCAAGAGCAGTGAGGGAATAGAGTAGTCCCAAAGTCTAGGTTGCTTTGGAAGTGGGCAAGGGAAAGTCTGCCTGGGAATATAAATGGGGGTATTTCCAACCCTCGTTTAGATCACATGATCTAGTAACTGTCCGCACAAAATTATCAAAGCTTAGAGTATCCTGGAAAATCTACAATTTTGGTCAACATTATTATGGCTCTTAAACCTGGCAGAAAGTTGGAATCATTATTAAACTTTCAAGAATAGCTTCCTAGAGCCATACCAGATCTACTAAATAAAAATACTGGGGTGGGGAGGGAGGCAGGAGAGTGAGGATGTTATCTGTATTCTGAAAAGCTTCCCATCAGGAAGTGGTGGCAGCCATGCACCCGTGTGGAAGAGGGGAGGAGAAGCTGGCGGGTGGTGTAGACACTGACTTTGCTACCTACCTCAACTTTTCATGGTGGATAGTGCGCTCCTATCTCTTCTCTTCAAGGAGGGTTCCCAGGGCCTTGGTAATGATTAGACTCTTGACCTCAGTCTGTGTTTATTCACTGGAGTGACTCTCACACCACATGGTATAGTCACAGTGCTGGTAAAGACACAACGAGGTCAATAATTAAGAAATTGTGTTTCATAGAATATTTGCTACACAGATACATTGAAACAGAGAGGTCAAATGTAGCTAGGAAATGCTGCATAGAGAGTCTATATCTAAGTACTGCATTCTTTATAATATTTGATGAAGATGTTGAATGGTGTGTTTTTCTGGAATAAAGTTCACATTGAACTCTTGACTAGAGAAGGTAAGAGTACTGTTCATGCAGTATGCACAGTGGTTCTAAGGATTCTAGAGTTGGACTCTTTGGACTTGAACTCTAGTTCCAACTCTTGCAGCCATCTGACTTCAGCAAAGGTCAAAATTTACCTCTCTGTTTTAGTGTCCACATCTGTCCATTTGGAATAACAATGGCAACGATCTTACATGGTTGCAGTGAAGGTTGAGTAAGTGAATGCATGAAAAGTGTTGAGTTTGGTGCCTGGCACATAAAAAGCCCTTGCTAAATGGTAGCTGTCATTAATCAAAGTGAATTGGATAAAAATCATACCTAGGGAAAAATGATGCTCCTTGTGTAAAGCTGGTTCTAAATCCCTGTCTTGATGTTCAGCCCAGCAGGAGGGTCCATTCCATTGCTTGCTTGTTGTTGCCATCTTTTTATTTGTTGCTTTGTAGTTGTATATTTACATTCAGGTGAGTTAGTTTGCTAGGGCCGCCATACCACAGACTGCGTGGTTTATATGTTCTCCCAGGTCTGGAGTCTAGAACTCTGAGATCACTCGGGGTTTACTCTGAGTGCACAGTGCCAGCAGGTGGTTTTTCCTGAGGCCTGTCTCCTTGGCTTGCGGATGGCACATTCTCACTACACCCCCGCGTAGCGTTTCTTCTGGGCTCCTGCAACGCCAGTATCTCTCCTGTCCTAATCTTGCCTTCCTATAAGGACACCATTCAGATTAGATTCGGGTCCACCCTAATGGGTTCATTTTAACTTGATCACCTCTTTAAAGGCCGTGTCCCCCAAAACATTCTGAGGTATCTGAGTTTAGAGCTTTAGCATGTAAATGTTGGGGGTGACACGGTTCACTTCATAGCACCTGGCATCTGCATTCCCATCACCACACACCGTGGACTAGATGATGAGTTCCTTGGAGGCAGAATGTATCTTATTCTTCTCTCGAAGTCTTGTCCATAAGAGACCCTCAAAGGAGTATTTACTGTGCATTGAATTCATACAGATGTCCAAGCATGTGTGAGGGCGACTTAGAGAAACCCCTGCAGGTGATTTTGATGCTTGGTCTCTGTGACTGGACATAGGCATGTTTTCGGGAAGTTGTTTCTCTTTTGTAAGATCTGCCATTACAGAAATAGTCTATTCCATGTTCTCACTAGAGATTTAGGATGTTTAGAAAAATAATACTGAAAGTCTGCGTTGGAAGACGTCCAAGTGTCAGAACAGGCTGCCTCACTCCTTTTTTGAGTTGTCTCTTAAAGGCTTCAGGAGCTCTGCAGGACACATGGAGGGGCTGACCTCTGAGCGGGGCATATTGTGAAACATTCATGGTGTTTTGTTTTTATGACATTTTTGCTCATCCAATCCCAAGCAAACACTTCTTGCATTAATAATATAGGCCTAGTGCTTGGTTTCATTTCTATTTTGTGTATATAGAGATCTATGAAGGAAGGCAAGCGTTGGATTCTATGCTGCTAAAAGTATTTCCTTACTTGGTGTGTGGCTCTATGTTCACTTTTTAAAAAATCAGAAGTGGCCGGTCGCAGTAGCTCACGCCTGTAATCCCAGCACTTTGGGAGGCCGAGGCGGGCAGATCACCTGAGGTCAGGAGTTCGAGACCAGCCTGCCCAACATGGCAAAACCCCGTCTCTACTCAAAATACAAAATTAGCTGGGTGTGGTGGTGCACGCCTGTAGTCCGAGCTACTCGGGAGGCTGAGGTAGGAGAATCGCTTGAACCTGGGAGGTGGAGGTTGCAGTGAGCCAAGATTGTACCACTGCACTCTAGCCTGGGCAACAAGAGTGAAACAAACAAACCAAAAACCCATAAGTGTTGGTTTCAAGCCTTTGCCAAATTTCAAAATATGAGTGTACTATTTGGAATCCTAAAGGACATGCTCACAGGTATTTGGCAAATTTCTAGACCCAATATCCTTTTGGAGGAAGCACTGAGCTCTTTGCTAATGAGGAAAAGAAAAAAGGATTTTCTTTCTTTCTTTCTTTCTTTTTTTTTTTTTCTGACAGAGTCTCACTCTGTCGCCCAGGCTGGAGTGCAATCGTGCGATCTCGGCTCACTGCAACCTCCACCTCCTGTGTTTAAATGATTCTCCTGCCTCAGCCTCCTGAGTAGCTGGGATTACAGGCACATGCCACCACATCGGCTAATTTTTGTATTTTTAGTAGAGATGGGGGTTTCACCAGGTTGGTCAGGCTGGTCTCGAACTCCTGACCTCGTGATCCGCCTGCCTCAGCCTCCCAAAGTGCTGGGATTACAGGCATGAGCCACTGCACCCGGCCAAAAAGGATTATTTCTAAACTGACAGATGAAGCAGCAAATTGCCAACCAACCTCTATTTTATGTATTAGGATAGGGAAGACCTACTGGGATACCAGGCAAAATCATGAAGTGAATGGTTCGGTTTAATGCCATGAAAAAAACAGGTAAGCCTTCACCACCAGGACTTTATGGATAGAGGAGAAAGAGAAGTAAAAACTTGCATAGCTTTTTAATGATGATAAGTGAGCCACCTGGACCCATTTCCCTGAAACGTTCTTCTGACATTGGCCTTCCTCCCACAAAACTCCATGATTTCCCCGCCCATGTAATTACAACGACTTGTGTCACTCCCCACTCCAATCCCATCCAAACTTTGAGGCTGCTTTGGAACTTGATCCAGTTCTGTCCTCAGATGGAACACTTTTTTCCCCATTCCTGAATCCAGGAATACGGTGATGATTCCAGGGATTCAGTAACTATTTCTGACACCTGTGTCAGGCTGTGTTTTAGGTGTGGGGGTTACAGCTTCACACAATGGAAAGGAATCACCGGTGCCCTCTTGGAGCCTCCTTTTAAAGAGAAAAGGCTGACGACAGACAAGATAAATCCATCAGATATGCACAGTGGTATTTCAGATGGTGATATATGCTGTAGATAAAAATAAAACTCGCTGGGGATAGGAAGCAGAGAGTGCAGTTCTAAATAAGGCGGAGTGGTCGACCTCTTTGACAAGAAGGCATTTGAGTAAAGACGCAGCCCGGGTGAGGGAGTGAGGCACAGGGCTGCATGGGGAAGAATGAGATTAAAGGAGCAGCAAGCCCAAAGCTCCAAGGGGGCAAGCATTCGCTGGCAGGAGAGGCTGGAGGCCAGAGTGAGTGAGGAGAGCTGGAGGCGAGCTACAAGTGACGAAAGGCGCCAGATGGTGTTGGGCCTTGTGAGTTGAAAGAATTTCACGTTCATGGACATGCTGTAAACCAATGTTGAGAAGAAGTTGGCCAGTTATGTTGAGAACAAAGCAAGGCGGAAAAGATATAAATCTGGGAGTGAGAATCCAGACGGTGTTTAAAGCCTTGAGACTAGATGAGATCTTCATGGGTATCTGAGTCCAGACCATCCCAACACTGGCCAGATATCCCTATACCCTTAACAGAAATATATGCATGACAGGGCCAGGCAGAGTGGCTCATGCCTGTAACCCCAGCACTTTGGGAGCCCGAGACTTGAGCCTAGGAGTGTGAAACCAGCCCGGGCAATACAGCAGGACCTTGTCTCTAAGAAAGCTAAAAAACAATCACTCAGATATGATGGCATTCTAGCTACTAAGGAGGCTGAGGCAGGAAGATCACTTGAGGCCAAGAGTTTGAGGCTTCAGGCTTCGGTGAGCTGTGATCACACCACTGTACTCCAGCTTGTGCAACAGAGAAAGACCTTGTCTTAAAAAAAAAAAAAGGAAATAAAAGAAATATATATATATATGACAAGGAAAGACACAAACCCCTACTATTTATGATTTATTGTATAGTGCTTTAGTTAAAGGAGGCTGAGTGGACACACATATTTTAACTTTTCCTTTTTTGGGGGTCAGCCTAAAGTCTTATACCCCGAGACAATGAATTAAGCTAAGAGCCCTCAAGAGTGAGACTTCTGCATTTGTTTTACCGTGAGGGAGTAGGGGGGCAACTGTGAGTGGGAAGTGGAAAGTGTGGGAACGGCCTTGTGTTCCGATAGATTCCTTTTGGAGAAAAGTACATATGGCTATTAATTTCCTTAACTCTCCATGCCTGAGCATGGTTGGCAAACGCTGGAATAATACTGCTTATCGGAATGACACTATGGTTTGAAACTTTTTTTTTTTTTTTTTGAGACAGAGTCTCACTCTGTCACCCAGGCTGGAGTGCAGTGGTGCAATCTCAGCTCACTGCAACCTCTGCTTTCTGGGTTCAAGCGATTCTAGTGCCTTAGCCTCTCGAGTAGCTGGAATTACAGGTGTGTGCCACCACACCTGGGTAATTTTTGTTTTTTGGTAGAGACTGGGTTTTGCCATGTCGGCCAGGCTGGTCTTGAATTCCTGGCCTTAGGTGATCCTCCTGCCTTGGCCTCTCAAAGTGCTGGGATTACTGGGATGAGCCACTTCACCCGGCAACACTGTGGTTTGAAATACTCAGAATAATCTCTAGAAGTTGCTTAAAGCTGGTTAAAAAGTTATCGAGTCCAAAATAACTGTTTGCTTCTGTGGAAATTGGTCTGATGAGATTTCCTGTCTTGACTCAATTTTGATAAATTCTATTTTCTTATAAAGTTGTTCATTTACTTCAAGTTAATAAATTTACAAAGAATTGTGCAAAGTTCTTTCCCTCATATTTACCATTCTCCTTATTTTAATTTTGTATATTTTCTTTCTCTTTCCTTATATTAGTTTGAAGTTTATTGCTTAAAGATGATGCTCAACTTATGATGGTTTGACATGATTTTTTGAGTTTTCAATAGTGGAAAAGTGATAGGCATTCAGTAGGAACCGTAATTGAACTACCCACACAGCCATTCTGCTTTTCACTTTCAGTATTCAATAAATTACATGAGATATTTAACACTTTATTATAAAAATAGGCTTTTTCTTAGATGATTTTGCCCAGCTGTAGGCTAATGTAAGTGTTCTGAACACATTTAAAGTAGGCTACAGTAAGCTATGATATGCCATAGTTAAATGTATTAAATGCATTTTCAGATTATGGTATTTTCAACTTACAATGAATTTATGGTGATATAAACCTATTGTAAGTCAAGGAGTATCTGCATAGGTTTTTTTTTTTCCCAGTGAAGAACTAGCTTTTTAGTTTATTTGATGTTTCTGCTCTTTTTGCCCATTTTCTGATTCAGCAATTTCTATTTTTTTCTTAATATTCTTTTTTTCTGACTTTTATGGTTATGTTGTTTATATATATTTAATCGTAGTTCTGTCTCCATTTGCCACATTTTGGCATGAAAACATACTTTTTATTCCTTGTTTTTAAAAACACTTGCTTTTGCAACTATGAATTTTTCTCTGAGCATCAGTTCAGATGCACAGCGTGGGTTGCCTTGTGTTGCGTTTCCATTATCATCAATGTTTTTACTATATTCTGTGATTCTCATTTGGATTTCCTATTTTATTCAAGAATTGCTTAAAATAATTATTTTAAATTAATAACACGTTATTTTTGCTTTATTAATTTCTAAGTGTATATTACATTGTACTCAGAGTATGATGTATATAGTAGTTCCCTCATTCAAATTAATTCATATTTTATTGGGGCCTGATATGCAGTCTCTTCAAGGAAATGACTGTTCCATAAGCATTTGAGAAAAGATGTATCCTCTGTTTTAAGAAATGTACTTCCTCTGCTTCCCACCCATCTACCTTTTCTGGTTCACCTCCCATTTTAAAGAAATGCTGTTGTTTTACAGTCAGGACAAAGTGCACTAAACTGTTTTCCATTACCCTAAAATCCACAATGATTTCAGTCTTAGTTCTATTATTAAGCTAATGATAGTTCGGTTTTTTCCAAAAAATTTTGAGAACAATATTCAACATGCTGTATTACTTTTCTTGGAACACTCTTTCCTTGTGTTTTTTACTGGTGTCATTTTAGCTTTTTTTTTTTTTTTTTTTTTTGATATTTACATGTTGCTGTGGGAAAGTCAGAGGCAAGTCTGATTTATTTCTCCACATAAGTGAATTGATCTTTCTGCTTGGCTGTCCAGAAGATTCTTTTGCTCCACAAACCACAAACTGATCATTTTAATAAGTTATAATCTGGTGTTGTCTACAGGTCATTTTCCTTTTATTACAAAGTGTTATTTCCATATGTAGATTCAAATCTTCTTTGTTTTTTTTTTTTGTTGTTGTTTGTTTGTTTTTTTCTTGAGACAGAGTCTTGCTCTGTCACCCAGGCTGGAGTGCAGTGGCACAATCTCAGGTCACTGCAACTTCCACCTCCCAGGTTCAAGCAATTCTCCTGCCTCAGCCTCCCAAGTAGCTGGGATTACAGGCACCTGCCACCATGCCCAGCTAATTTTTGTATTTTCAGTACAGATGGGGTTTCACCATGGTGGACCAGGCTGGTCTCAAACTCCTCACCTAAGGTGATCCGCCCACTTTGGCCTCCCAAAGTGCCGCAATTACAAGCGTGAGCCACTGTGCCCAGCCTCTTCTTTGATTTCTTTTTTTTCCAAATCATACAGGCCGTTTAGCTCATTGTTCTTTTTTCTATCTTTTTCCTTGTAGTGCTTTTTGCAGTGAGTTTGTACCTTTGTGTCACTTCACATCTTATTTTTATTTTTTTTTCAGTTGTTCCTTAAGTTTCTCTGTTATGTCTCCAGCTCTTGTATTTCTGCTCTGTTGTCTTGTTTCATGGACACAACTGCTTGGTTGATTCATTGTTTGGTTTTCATTTCTTACTAGAATAGGTTGCCAGAGAGTTCTGTTGAGTAACAACATTTTTCTGATGAGATTTCTTAGTCTATAAATAGACTTTTTCTTGTAGTATGTTTGTATAGATTGTGTGCATGCATGCATACATGCATGTGTGTGTGTGTATGTGTTATTCAACATTGAATACTTGGGTTTCATGGACATGTATTGTGGAGGGGTGTCCTGTATGTGGTGGGGCGTAGAGCAGTAGTCCACCTGCTATTCTAGTATTGCTCACTTTCTTACTCTCTGCCTCATGGATACAGACTGCTTCTTCCAACCGTGGCCTTGCTGTGTGATTATTAATTTTCACCTGCCTCCTCTGTTACTCTAAACCAAATTTGGTCTAGTGGAGCTATCCACCCATTGGTTTACCCCATTCTGATTTTGACCCCTCAGTGTTCCCCTCACTTTCAGGAAGATGTCTCTCCATGACAATATCTCTGGCTTCCTTCCACAGTTCCTACCCAATTGCTGTTGCTTATGTGGCTTTCACATTCATTTTAGAGTTTCACCAACAAGATGAAAAAAAATGGGGAGGGGATTGTTCCTTGGTGAGAGAAAATGCTGTTTTTCCGTCCCCTCTTGTTGATGGAAGTTTCCCTAGGAGAATTTTTATTGTCCCATTTTTCATAGTCCCATTTTTCATAATACTTCCTGATAATCATGTTTATGTTTTAAGTCATGTGAAGAAGGTATTTTGCTGAAGTAAAAATTTACATCTTCAGTTTCTTTTTCTTGAGTCTGTATGGTAAATTACTGGATCAATATTAAAGATTGCCCATTAGAAAATAGCCCTCTTAAATAGAATATCTGGAGAAATTAGTGAAAATTAGTTGTGGCAAGCAGGAATGTATCATTTGCCACATCATGTAATATACACACAGATTACTGTAGAGAAAAGGAGATTTGCATATTTGTTTCCCTGAAAATAAAGTGAAGATCCTGATGAAGTTAAAAGATCTGGCTGGCCCAGGTGGAGTGCCTCACGCCTGTAATCCCAGCACTTTGGGAGGCTGAGGCGGGTGGATCACCTGAGGTCAGGAATTCAAAACCAGCCTGGCCAACTGGTGAAACCCAGTCTTTACTAAAAATACAAAAATTAGCTGGGTGTGGTGCTGGGTGCCTGTAATCCCAGCTACTTGGGAGGCTGAGGCAGGAGAATCGCTTGCACCCAGGAGGCAGAGGTTTCAGTGAGCCGAGATTGTGCCATTGCACTCCAGCCTGGGTGATAAGAGCAAAACTCTGTCTCAAAAAAAAAAAACAAAAAGAGAAAGATCTGGCTGAAGTTGTCTTACTCTTTATAACAGCAAATTTGTGTTGATATTCATTTTTTTAAGAAAAACATTATAACTACCTATGATAATAACTGTGGAAAAATGAAGTTGATGTTATAAAGCTTTATTCAGTAAGCCAGATGTTAGTTAGGAAATGATACTAGAAGCCTTTTATATGTTTTTCATGTTTGTATTACATAGCACTCTGGGATTTTTAATTTTAAAGTATTTGCTTTATGTTGCAAGTGTTAAATAGAACTTTTATAGTAAATTGATTCATAGTGAATTTTTGTTTAGTTTCTTTTCCACAAATTTGAGAAAATCTTTCTTTTTTTTTTTTTTTTTTGAGTCAGAATCCTGCTCTGTCACCCAGGGTGGAGTGCAGTGGTGAGATCCCAGCTCACTGCAACGTCCAGGTACTAGGCTCAAGTGGTTCTCAGGCCTCAGCCTCCCAAGTAGCTTGGCTTACAGGTGGGAGTCACCATGCCCAGATAATTTTTGTATTTTTACTAGAGATGGGGTTTCACTACATTGGCCAGGCTGTTCTTGAACTCCTGACCTCAAGTGATCCACCCACCTTGGCCTCCCAAAGTGCTAGGATTACAGGCATGAGCCACTGTGACCGGCCAAAATCTTACATTTCTACTGCCGAGTGTGCTCTTCTGCCTCAATAAAAATGGGTAAGGAGTTCCCTAACACTCAATGTCAGCGGTGACAGTGCAGGAAATAAGTAGCTTTTCTAGACCTCCTTAACGCTGCTGGAAGAGCTCATGGATTGGAGCGTTTAGCTTTTCATTTATTATAGTTGTCCCTGTAAACAAATTTTAAATTTCTGAAGCAAGGACCATGTTATATTTGCTTGTCTTCGGCTTCTGCATTTCCATCTACCTCCAAATATCTAGTACAGCCGTGTGCATATAGAAGATGTATTAGCTAGGACTCTTTCAATTACAAGAAGCAGAAATCCAGCCAGACTGGCGTAAGAAAAAAAGAGAGATTGTTGGATTAAATATTTGAGTTCCTGGCATTAATGTTGGCCTAGACATGACTTAATCCAGGTGCTCGAAGTTAATTCAGACATCTCAAATCTGTTGATATTCCCGAGTTTGCTTCTTTTTCTTACCTTCCTGAACAGTTGCTAAATGAAGAGAGTTCACAGAATCATTTAACAATAATTAAGCAAATTTTCTGGAATTTACTTCATTAAGTCAGCTGTGTCCTCTTGGTGACAGAAAGGCACCATAAGCTTCAGGCTTACATTCTATCAGTTAGCAAGCCTAGTGGGAAGAGAAGGCCTCTTTCTTAATAGTTCCAGCAAAAGTCATAGGAGTGACCCTTATTGCGCTGTCCTCGGTTGCATACTATCTCCAACACCACTATGGCCATGGGAACTAAACAGGTGGATAGGCCCACCCTAGTCAAACCCTATGCCTGTGTGTATATTGTGTGTGTGTGTTCATGCCTGTGTGTTTAGGGGATAAGTTAGCCCACCTTGAACCTAAATGCATCAGACTTGTGGTTTCTCAGAAGTCAGTGAAGTTGTTCTTACCAAAAAAGGAGAAGAATTCTGGGCAGGTAAAAACACAGTAAATATGATTGCTTCTTTTGTATAAATGTGTGTGTGTGTGCATGTGCATATGGGAGGGTGATTAATTTATATCGATCTTACACTGGCCTTTATCAGCACAGAAAATTATGTTTCTGTAACAAATGTGCCAATAGTTCCAGTGGCTTTACACAACAACAAAAAATGTTTTCTAACACAAGCGACGGGTCCAGAGTGGGTCTGCTCGATGTGGGACCTCGGGCTCCAGGCTGACTGAGTGACAACAGTGAACGCGACAGACAAGGTCCTTGTCACGAGGCTCCACCATGACAAGTTGCCACAGTCACAAAGGCAGGGAAGAGTTGGCGTCTTATGCTCTGGCTGGGAAGTGATACCCATCGTTCCACCTTGTTAGCCAGAACTAGTGACACGTCCCACCTAAAAACAAAGGGACTAGCTGGCTCGATATTCTATGTGGTGGGGCAGCAAGGAGGGCTGGACAACACTAATGCTGACTGCACTCCTGTTCAAACACGAGGAACACATCCTCAACTACTCCGAATCCTAAAATGACAATCCACTTCTCATTTCAGAGAAATTTATTCTTTCAAAACATTCTAAAACTCCTACAATCCCAGCTGGTTTAGTACATATACAAACAAAATGGCCCAGCAGCATTCCAAGGACTGCCTGGAAGTGAAAACAAAAGCTCTGCAATAGTAACTCTTAACTCAGCTTAAGGCCTTGCCCAGAACTCATTAGGCTTCAAGAAATGATTCGATTCGCTTTGTCTACATTTAATTATTCACATATGAATGACATATTCCTGTCTCCAACATTTACTGAGCTTTTACTGTATACCAGAAAAGGTGCCTGGTGCATTGGGTACAGCACAGTGCCTGAGTTCTACAACTTAGTGTCTACTGAGGAAGACAGAATTTAAACTGGATAATGCTGTGTTTGAAGAAATGTTAATAACTCAGATAATAATAGTCCTATATGTATGCTCAGCTAGACAGACTAGGCCTGAGAGCCAGCCCTTTATTTTAAAGCATATGCACCTTGAAATTCAAACTGCTAAACCACACAACAACCCCAGGTGACAGTGGGCATCTGGAGTAAGAACTTTCTTTTTTTTTTTGCAAACAAAGGAGAATTTCTTGTAACTTTGGCGTTTGTATCAGTGTCTATGGCTGCATAATGAGTTACTTCAAAACGTATGGCCTAGGACAATAGTCATGCATTATCTTTCATGGTTTGCGTAGGTCTGGAATTGTGGAGAGACTGCTGGGCGATTCTTGATTTGGGTATCTCATGCAATGGCAGTTAGATGTCAGTGAGCTACATTCATCTGAAGACTTAACTGATGATAGAAGATTCACTTCCAATGTGGTTGGCACTGTGGCAAACTGAAGTGCATGTGGCAAATTGATGCTGGCTGTTGGCCAAGGGCCTTCAGTTCTTCTCTGTTTGGACCTTTCTGCAGGACAGTGTCTGTGTTCCCATGGCAGGACAGCTGGCTTCCCCTGGATGAGCAATCCAAATGTTCAAGTGGCAGCTGCATTCCTTTATATAATCTAGCACATATTGTTACTGCTGTTATATTGTATTGATCACACAGGGCAGCCATAATTCATTGTGGGAAGGTATTATGCTAGAGTATGACTACCAAGAGGTACGTCTTGAAGGCTAGTTATCCCAGAGTAACTTCTGGCTGCCCTCAGCCAGGATATCTCTTTTTATATTAATAAAGTTACATAGGTGAGTTGATTGAGATAGTATATCTTTTAAATGGGGGTTCACTACCTGCAAATTTGGACACTTCTTTGTTAGCTTTTTACTGCAAATAGATATTAAGGCAAATAATAAGACAACCCCTGGCTTTCATTCAAATATCACAGGGAAACATACAACATTCAAGGTCCAATTAATTACACTAGGAAAACGAGATGCAAATGCTTTTCTTTAAACTTTAAACATATACAGGATTTAAAAGTGTTTTATCATAACCACAGTAACATCTATAGGCTACTTTTCTATTCACTTAAGTGATGAGCTCTACTTCTTGGGTACAGAATTTACACTGCATTGCAGAGTTCTCAGTAAATTAGTGATGTTTTTATTTTCCAAAAGCAAAATTAATACATTTCACTGGGACTTCATGAGATAAGCCTTTTGGATGTATCACATATGCTATCATTTCTGCAGGAAAGCCTGTTACAGGTATAGGAAATGAAATTTCTACCGGGAAGCCTTTCATCTATAATGGCACTGTGATGGCTTTTTTGAAGTGTTCCAAATATTACCTTGATAAGGAAAAAATAAAAAGCTATCCTTCATAGCCTGCAGCCACACAGACTATCTTGTAGTAGTGACTAGGTGGATGTATTACAATTACATCGAGTACTCAGTTAACCTTAAAAATGTTTGAGTTGGTAGGAACGCCATGATAAGGATTACATAGAGTCATACATATTTCTGTATCACACCCGAAGCTCGTGGAAGTACGTGTTCATTTTAGGCCAGGACCTCTCTAAGGGAAAGCAGAACGCTCTCACTTTGCCCAGAGCTCCCTAGCATTGCAGAGGACCTTTTGCATTGCACCTCCTCTTCTGAACTACCTAATGTTTATAGTCCTAAAATGAAAACATGAAAGCGAGATTTTTGAACAAGTATATTCTCATTATGCTTCAAGGAATTCTTTCTCAAATACGTAAATGTTTGTTAATATTATGGGAAAATAGGAAATACAAGCTAGATTATAAGTTACTACAGTGTAACAAAAAAAATTTTGGATACTTTTGAAAATATATAATGCTTTGCTAACAATGTAGAAACATTTGAAAAGGTTTCCAAATAAACTTTGCTTTGTATTTCTTTTGTAATCAAAATGACCATATAATCATGTCTGAGAAATAATATGGTTTAGTGAGCAACCAAAATTTTATTTGAGCTACCAGTATATGAAATGTTTTTAATTTTAACTAAATCTAAAGGATTATTTTCTAAATTGTAGTAAAGTTGTTTATTAGCTGTCTCCCAGAAGAAAAAACCGGTGAGAGTTATGATGCTCCTGTGGTCACACAACTATTTGAAGTAATGTATATCCAAAAATAAATTTGCTAGATAAAATTTATTATTTACTCTTACCACAATACCATGTTGAGTGATTCTAGCTAATTTAATAATTTAATAAAGATTGTCTAGATTCTACATTATGACATTCCAGTTAAGTGGTAGTTGGTGGTATTATGTAAGAGTAAATAAGATCGTGCATGCAAAAGTTGATCTCTATTGACTTGTTTATGGGTTCACATTTACAATTTCAATATGAAGCCTAGAATGTCTTCTCTGTCCTCTATGAATCTCCTAGCCTCGGCCGGGTATGGTGGCTCAGGCCTGTAATCCCAGCACTTTGGGAGGCCAAGACAGGTGGATCACGAGGTCAGGAGTTTGAGACCAACTCCTAGCCAGCATGGTGAAACCCCGTCTCTACTAAAAATACAAAAATTAGCTGGGCGTGGTGGCAGGCACTTGTAATCCCAGCCACTCAGGGGACTGAGAAAGGAGAATCGTTTGAACCCTGGAGGTGGAGGTTGCAGTGAGCTGAGAGTGCACCATTGCACTCCAGCCTGGGCAACAGAGCGAGACTCTGTCTCAAAAAAAAAAAAAAAAAAAAAAGAATCTCCTATCCTCACCCAGTATCAACTGGTTGTCTAGTTCACTTTAAATGGTAGCACATGATTCTGCCAGAACAGTCACCCAATTACTGGAGCCAGCTTGGGTGAAAGGAGGACTAATGTGAGATGCGCAGAGCTTGAGCCAAGCATCATGGAATTGCTGCATGGTGGCCCTAAAAGCACTGAAGATGTTGATTTATATGCCTAGTCAGAGAAAGCTTAGCAGTGAGCCCGGATCCGACATGCTCCTGGTCTTTGAAGCCAAACATCCATGTTGGTATATTTAACTCATTTCAAGTGTGTATTCTCAAATACAAGTGTCCTTACAGGTAATAGAAATAAAGAGCAACTTGCATTAGAATTTTTATTATTTTAGCAATGATAGGCTGAGTTTTAAAAATGTAGAAAATTACTTCAAGGAGCTTACAGTATGGCATCAATGTAACATTAGGTATTAGGCCAAACTAAAGACTTAGAAATAGTGGCTGAGTCCACTTTGTCTAATGACTGCAAATGTTGGCCTCAATCTATATGCTTTGCTGGCATTATTGGTTTGCCTAATTCACCTATAAGTACAGAATAAATTACAGTTCCATAAATAGCAGTACATGATCTTTTGCCATAACAGGAATGTGTATCTACTGGACTAGACTTGAGTGAAAGAAAAATTAAGTTGTAGAATCAGAGACATTATGGTATCATCAAAGGAAGGCAAGTGAGAGCAGGCAAGCTGGTGCACCAGCTTGTGTATAGATTCTAGTAGACAGAGATTGGAGATGGAGGCTTACCTGGGATGAACATAAAAGTTAGGAGAAAAAGAACCAAAAACTTCTGGCCTCCTTTGACCTCTTGGAAAGGCTCTGTGTGGTCTCCATGAGGACTATATCAGGAGGCCCTCTGGCCTGAGCAGACCTTATGCTGTTGTTGCCTTTGAAGACCAACAATAATGAGAGAAAATACTGTATCACACAAAGAATGCAAGCAGCAGATGCAAGAAAGCTTTTTTTTTTGTAAAAGATTTTGGGCATATTGCTTTTCTTCTACTGGATTAGCAATGAAAACAGGGTGTACAACCAAGGAATTTATGTACTAATCAATAGCATCCAAAAGGAAAAAAAAATCATGAAATGGCAGTACTAAGAAAAGTGAAGAATGTTAAAATACATAGGACAATATCATAAAGATATACAGACTACCTAAAATCCATAATCTTAGCCAAGTGCACTATTTAAATCCTGGAGTTGTCAATATTTATTCTCAGGAAAAATGTAATGCGTTGGCCTTTTAGAAACAATGCACTAATCTTAGGTTAGCACTAACCTAAGATTTTTTGCAAGTATGTTAAAAAAGTGTGAAACTTGCTATATGACATATTTCCAGGCAGAATGCCAGGAGGGCTGTGTGAAAGGAGCCTGGAAGTGATGCAGTGTGGAGACCCAGCTGTCAAGCATGAGCAGTAAGAAAATTATCTTCCAAGATGAAGTCATTGCAGATGTTCGAAATCCACGTCAAGCATGTGCAGTAAGAAAATTATCTTCCAGGATGAAGTCATTGCAGATGTTCGAAATCCACGTCAAGCATGCGCAGTAAGAAAATTATCTTCCAGAAGGAAGTCATTGCAGATTTTCGAAATCCACGTCAAGCATGCGCAGTAAGAAAATTATCTTCCAGGAGGAAGTCATTGCAGATTTTCGAAATCCACGTCAAGCATGCGCAGTAAGAAAATTATCTTCCAGGAGGAAGTCATTGCAGATGTTCGAAATCCACGTCAAGCATGCGCAGTAAGAAAATTATCTTCCAGGAGGAAGTCATTGCAGATTTTCGAAATCCACGTCAAGCATGCGCAGTAAGAAGATTATCTTCCAGGAGGAAGTCATTGCAGATTTTCGAAATCCACGTCAAGCATGCGCAGTAAGAAAATTATCTTCCTGGATGAAGTCATTGCAGATGTTCGAAATCCATGTCAAGCATGCGTAGTAAGAAAATTATCTTCCAGGAGGAAGTCATTGCAGATTTTCGAGATGCACTTGAAATAAGTATTTCAACATTTTTAGTTTCACATCTGTGGCCAGCTAAAATAGTTTCCACGTGAGTTTACAGCGAAGTTTCATCCAAATATCCTTGGAATTCTAACAACACTTCTTTCTAGGACTAAAGAAAATTCAGCATCTGAATTAAAAGAAGGTGCCTGTGGTCCTTATCAAATATTTGACTTACGTTAAGAATAATCTATACTCTATTATTTCTTCTTCCCCAGAAGATTTCTTCTTATTTAACTTCTGTTTTTATAGATTTATATTTATTACACTTTAATTTTTTGTACCATCTCTACCCTAAAAAGTGTTAAGTTTTACTCCTATTATGTTAACAAATAGTCAAATAATACTAAACTGACCGTTAATATACCTTAGCAGGGCTGGGCATTGTGGTTCATGCCTGTAATCCCAGCACTTTGGAAGGCCGAGGTGGGTGGATCAGTTGAGGTCAGGAGTTCGAGATCAGCCTGGCCAACATGGCAAAACCCCGACTGTACTAAAAAAATACAAATATTAGCCAGGCGTGGTGGGGGCATCTATAGTCCTAGCTACTCAGGAGGCTGAGGCAGGAGAATCACTTGAACCCGGGAGGCGAAGGTTGCAGTGAGCTGAGATTGTGCCAGTGCACTCCAGACTGGGTGACAGAACGAGACTCTGTCTCAAAAAAATCCAAATATATATATATATATAAGGTGTGTGTGTGTGTGTGTGTGTGTGTGTGTGTATATATATATATATATATATACCTTAGCAGTATAATCACCATGTGGCATTCCCCTCCAAAAAGTCAGAATCATTGGAAAGATTTCTTTAAAAAACTAAAAATTTCTTTAAAGAAATTTAGGTACAAACTGATTATTATTATTTTTCACTATTTGGTGTTATACATTTAATTTTTAAAAAGCAGTTAACGAAAGAGTGAATTATTAAGATTTTGGAGTCAGAACTGGACTCTTTCCCACGTTATGTAGGATCTCATGAGGTTAAAGGAGTTTCCAACATTTACGGGAAATGAACATTGGCGCTATTACCCAGCTCTTGAAGTTAATCCAACATTATTAGGTTAATGATAGCATTGCTATTCTTGCAAGCATTGGCAATCTCCAGAGATAAACCTAAGAAAAAACAAAAATACTGTCTCACCTTGAGCCTGCACTAAGTGAGAATCTTATGCAACTAGCCAAAATTAGACAGGCAAAGGCCAAATGCCAGTGCAGAGAAACTCTGCAATAAAGCCAGCCATGGGGTTGTTACCCTAGTGCAAAGAGTATGTAGGAAGCTCAGAAAATTAGGAAGTTTGTTTAGCTTTTTACTGAGGAGTGGGGAAAGCTTTGGACTCCACTAGGCCTGTGTTTGAATTCCAGCTTTACCACTTATTAGAAGGATAATCTTGGCTAAGTTACTTATCTTCGCTGAAGTTCTGGTTGCTTATTTGTAAATTGAGAATATTAATGTCTGGTTTATACAGATATTAGTAGCAAATTAACATGCTTTTGCCAAGTATCTGCTGCAATACACACTGGTTACCAAGAAATTGGTAAATGATTAAAATGAATCATCGGACACCTTTTAGACTGGGTAGAGGGAATGCAAATGGGCTGTGTGTACGTCTATTTTGTTTTCTTTCTTAAATGAGCATGCCAAGATGCAAAGGTTTTTTATTTCTTTTAATCATTGTTTGATACTTGGAAATGCCTCACTTCCAGTCAGAGGCTCTGAACAGCAACTAGTATTTTCCTAGATGAAGAATTACTGATTATTTCCCCATGGGCAATCATTACCTAGGGAAGAAGGTAGCTTTGCTCATCACCTGCACCCACCGGTGCCCCAGCTCTTCTTGGTGGCTTCTTTCAACAGGATTAAGCTGTGCTCCAACTGCCTTCTTGCTATTTGGGCTCCTATATGTTGTGTGGCCCATCCCAGCCCTGCGCACACCACCCTCACTGAGCTAGGAGGCATTTGGAGAACACAAACTAGCCTGCACTTTGGCAGGACTCACACATCCATTCAAAACAAGAAGTGATCGGGAAGGGCTAGCACCTTACTTTCTCCTCATTTACATAAAATGTCTAAGAATTGAGGGTCAGGTTTTTTTGTTTTTTTTTTTTTTTTTCTGGAGGAACTGAAAGGATTTTAAAATGAAGCTTTGGGTGTTGGGGACAAAAAGTGTCTGGGGTCTTGGCCTCTGTGACTTTCTTTTAGGGACTTTGGACTGGACAGTGGGTAAGTCTTTCAGTTCCTTTGCCAGGGCATCAGACCCCCATACCCGACTTTATATTCTACATTTGGGCTGAGTCTGTTCTGTGCCAGATGCTGGGCCAGATGCTGGCATCCCAGCAGAGTAGAGAAGGGCCCCCTGGGCACATGTAATGCAGATACTGGAGAAGAGAGAGGGGTCCAGGGTGAGGTGGTTCATGTCCCTCCCCGAGCACAGTACGTGGCACAGAGAGGCTCCACCCATGGCAGCAGTGTTGTTAAGACATCTGTCCTTGGAGACCTCTGAAAGCTCCACCCATGGCAGTGGTGTTATTAACACACCTGTCCTTAGAGACCTTTGGCTTGGGAGTCAGTCACCTTTTGACCTGAGTTAGGAAATTCCTAGGGTCAGGCTCAGAAAAGCTGCCCCTCAACCTTGCTGTGTGCTAAGTGAGGAAGTAGTGCATTTAATTTTCATTTTCTTATTAAACCCTCTGGCTTTTTTCATCAGGATAGAAACATAGTTAGAGACCCAAAATTGGATAGAAACGTTGTTAGAGATCCGTAAGTGTCACTCTTGATAGAAATGAAAGATGACGATTGGAGCTTTCCTTGTGCTGGGTGTCTTGGGAAGCTGGACCTGGGCCCTAGAGGTCAGAGAGGAAGGGTGTCTGTCTCCTCAGGCGCCTTCCTCGGCCTAGCCCCACACTGCCCAGAGTCGCTGCCAACACCCTCCTCCTGCAATGAAACCTGGTCCATTGCCACTGCAGTCCCCAGGGCCAGCCCGAAGAACATAATTAACTCAAGAATTGCATGAATTCAGCCTTCTCCTAAAATAACACCCCAGTCACTGACAACCACACGAGTTTACCTCAGTTCTCTGCTTTGCAGAGAATATTTTTGTGTTGTTGGCTCTGCCTTCCCCACGAGACCGTGTGTTTTACAAGGACCTTGTCTGTCACGTTCACTGTTGTGTTCCCCAGCACTCAGAGGAATTCCGCCATGGAGTTAGCACAGACAGCGCTGGTTGGAGGAATGAGTGAGTGCATCTACTCAGCCAGAGGCCACCTTGTTTCATTGCTTGTCCTCCCATGCAGATTTCCACCTGACGCATTCTTCTGTGCTTTTCCTGGCAATAAGGTGAAGAAAAGGCAGCATTCGAAGGATGTTTAGAACACCATTTCAGATACCACACTTGTGTGGCTTTCATGATAAAATGCTCTGTTGATTCCACTTTTAAGTCTTCATACTTTAGACTTTGAGGTACACACCTTGGCTAAGAACCTTAGGGACTATTTGCAGACAAGTGGAAAATTTCTCTCTCTCTCTCTCTCTCTCTCTCTCTCTCTCTCTCTCTCTCTCTCTCTCTGTGTGTGTGTGTGTGTGTGTGTGTTGTGAGGAGGGTTTATAAGAATAAACACTAGACCATTAATTTTTATTTTCTTCTTAACTTCAATAATTTGAGCAATTATTATCGTTGTTTCTCAATTTCTCTGTATGAACAACAAAAATTATTCGTAACAGCCTTCTCACAATAAGATTAGAGAATTTGTGCTTGTAAATTGAGCTTAAGAACTATTACTAAGGAAAAAAATAAGCTTTTGTTGAGAATAATAACCTTTAGTATAAAAATTATCACAGCCTTCCAGTAAACATTTGGTTGGAGAAATTTTTTTTTTTTTTTTTTTTTGCTTATTTTTTCTTAGTGTGTAATTACTGGATTTTCAATTCTTGTTGCCTTTATGAACCTTCTAAAATGTTTCATTCATTTTATTCACATCATTGCTTCAAAAATTCTATTAGCATATTTTGTAGTGTGCACCCTAGTATAGTAATACTTTTGTGTAACTTAAAAATAAATAAATAAATGAATCTATATTTGGGGTCCCTGCTCAAGTCGACTTTTTAATTAACTTCCATTTTAAATTGTGGACACAGAGAACAAGGTATTTACATCATTTAGAAAAGACAGGGATTCTGCCTTGGGGAGATAATTGAATGCAATGTTACCTTATTGACGTAGTCTATATTTATTTGAGAGTGACTTCTGCGTCTGCTTAGTCATAAAACATTACCCTGCAAAAAAGGTTTAGATTGAGTTTGAAACTATAAAATCATATTTTAGATTTTGATTGGAATCTCAATACAACCTACCAATTTTTCTTTCTCCATCTGTGTTCATCTGTCTGTCTCTGTCCCTTATACCTGCGCACACACATGCATACACGCACATATGTGCACACGTACGTACACGCATATTTCACAGACAGGCTGGGGCGGAACCCAGCACAGGCACGGGGATGTGCAGGGCAGCCTCCTGAGGGCCAGCCCAGTGCTGGACCCAAACCATTCTGGGAGTCCAGGGAACACCAAGCTCAGCCTTACCAGACCCACCAGAGGAATCAGCAAGATGAAGAGAACCCACCTCTGACAAGTACGAGTGGACTTTCTCATGTTTCTGTTTTGTGGCAGGAGCAGAGACAAGATTTCACATTAGGTGAAAATATTTCAGTTACATAACATATAGTTTCACATAAACTATAGGGTTAAAAATGAGTTTAATTTTTAGTATAAATATACTTTTAAACTTGACATAAAATTATATGTTTTTATTATATACCACGTGCTGTTTTGAAGTAGACAGACACTGTGGCACGGTTAAATTTAGCAAATTATCAAATGTATTACCTCACTTAGTTAGCATTTTGCTGGGAGAACACACCATCCAGTCTCTCAGCATTTTCCACAATACATCGTCATTAACTGTAGTCCCCATGCATGCAGTGTAATTTAAGTCAGCTAAATATTTAATGATTGAGTCACTAGGAGATGGTTGACTCTATATTTATATGTATCCTGCATCTGCATAGGCACCTCTTTTTTTAAAAAAAATCAAAATACAATTGGCGGGTTAGTCATTTATAGAAATTGATTTTTCCAAGATTATACTGAGCTTGTCATTCTCAATAGGACAAGAGGACCTATTTTACTTATTTTGACATAGATGAAATTTGAAGTTACTTTTTGAAAAACTTTGGAATCTGAAACTTTTTTTTTTAGGGAAAAAACCGAACTGAATAACATTCAAGTTGGTTTTTAAAAGATTGAAATTAATTTCCTTTTGTTCAGAAAACAATATATCATTTTTATTTTCCCAAAGAAATCTGTGAAGGACCAAAAAGTCAGGGATGGATTCAAGCAGAATGAAGGTAATAAACTTTCCCTCCCACTCCATCGTGTCTGCATGAAACTCAGTAATGAGCACAGGAAGGCCTCTGCCTGTGGTCAGCCTTGTGAAGATGAGAAAGGAGAGCGGGAAAGGACCTGCTGAAATAGCGCGCAGTCAAGTTATTTAAACACCACGGTGTCACATTTGATGTTTGGGATGAGTTAGATCTAACAGATGTTATCCTCCTCAGGATAGTGCACATATCAAAGGGAGCAGTAAAAAGCCACCGCAATTAGCTCTACAAGCCGTTAATGATATTAT
Source organism: Homo sapiens (assembly GCF_000001405.40). Classification (NCBI taxonomy): domain Eukaryota; kingdom Metazoa; phylum Chordata; class Mammalia; order Primates; family Hominidae; genus Homo; species Homo sapiens. The sequence continues at coordinate 162,385,434 of NC_000006.12, read as the reverse complement.
CAGGTTGGTTATTAATAAGTAATAGAGAAAGTTTTTGTGTGGTGACATTTATGTATGATTGTCTTCCTGTTTTATTACTGGAATGACTAGCTAATATAAAAGCTGTTAAATGGTTCTCTTTTTGCTTTATACCATGTTGGGCGTACAGGGGTTGCAGATAACTGGTGTGTTTATGTTATCTGGGTGAAGTGGCATGCAAACCTGCTACCATTGGTGGTTAAAACTTAGTTTATTACTCAATTCCTTGAGGGAATGGGGACATACTCCCTATTTCACTTTCATGTGAGTTCCATAAGTATCTTGATGGTATTTTCAGGTTTTTTAAAAAGATAATTAATATGATTCTGTATGTCTTTGTTAAAGAAATAGAATAGGCTGCAGGAGTTAAATTTCATGAGGGGGGAAATACTATGTCTAAAACTACTTAAGTCATGACTTTACTGTGATATAAACATAGGCCCCTTCATACTAAAGTGGGACACAGAGCAACAAAAGGGAGGGGAAGGCAGGGTATTTTAGTGAAAATAAAGACTTCGAAGCTAATGTAATGCTGCCTCTGATGCCTACTTACTCTACTTCCTTAAACAAATCATTTCTCCTCTCTGCATTGCAGCTTTCTGACCTGTGAAATAGGAAAAAGTAATACCCGCCATATAAGACAATTTAAAGAAATGCAGCGTGTAATAAATATTTGCTGGTATCACAGGCACAGCTCATTTTACCATGCTTCCCTTTAGCATGCTTTGCAGATAATGAGTGTTTTTTTTTTTTGTTTTTTTTTTTTTTTACAAATTGAAGCTTTGTGGCAACCCTGTATCAAGCAAGTCTATTAGCAGCACCATCTTTCCAACAACATGTGCTCACTCTATCTCTATCATTTGGTAATTCTTGCAATATTTTAAAGTTTATCACTTTATCTGCTTTGGTGATCTGTGAGCGGTGATCTTTGATCTTATTGTTTTGGAGTGCGATGAACTGCTCCCTTACAAGGTGGCAAACTTAATGTGTGTCTTCTGACTGCTCCACTGACCAGCAGTTCCCCCACCTCTCTTCCTCTCCTTGGGCTTCCCTATTCTCGGAGACAAAATAATATTGAAATCAGGCCAGCTAATAATCCTACAGTGGCCTCTGAGCATTCAAGTGAAAGGAGGAGTTGCAAATCTCTCACTTTAAATCAAAAGCTAGGAATAATTTAGCTCAATGAGGAAGCCATGTCCAAAACTGAGACAGGTTGAAAACTAGGCCTCTTGTGCCAAATAGCCAATTTGTGAATGCAAAGGAAAAATTCTTGAGGGAAGTGCTACTCCAGTGAACACATAAATAATATGAATGTGAGACAGTCTCATTGCTGATGTGGAGAACATTTTAGTGGTCTGAATAGAAGTTCAAGCCAGTTACAACATTCCATTGAGCCAAGACCTGATTCAGACAAGGGTCTAACTCTTTTTAATATCATGAAGGCTGAGAGAGGTGAGGAAGATGCACAAGAAACATTTGAAGGTAGTAGAGGTTGGTTGATGAAGTTGAAGGAGAGAAGCCATCTCCACTGCATAGACATGTAAGGTGAAGCAGCAAGTGCTGATGTAGAAGCTGCAGCAAGTCACCCAGAAGTTCTGGTTATGATCATCGATGAAGGTGACAACAGTAAACAACAGATCTTCAGTGTAGATGAAACAGCCTTCTATTGGAAGATGCTATCCAGGACTTTCATAGCTAAAGAGAAAAAATCAATGCATGGCTTCAAAGCTTCCAAGAACAGCCTGCCCTTTTGTGAAGGGCAAATGTACCTGGTGACTTTAAGTTGAAGCTAATGCTCATTTACCATTCTGATAGTCCTAGGGCCCTTAAGGATTATGCTGAATCTACTCTGACCTTGCTTTGTAAATGCAACAACACAGCCTGGATGATGGTACCTGTGTTTAGGGCATACTCGAGTGAATATTTTAAGTCCACTGTTGAGCCTTACTGTGCCCTAATGCTCAGAAAAAAATGACTCTTCAGAACATTACCACTCATTCATGATGCAGCTGGTTACCCAAGAGCTCTGATGGAGATGTTCAAGGAGGTGAATGTTGTTTTCATGCTTGCTAACATAACGGTCATTCTGTAGCCCATGAATCAAGGAGTAATTCTAATTTTCAAGTCTTATTATTCAAGAAATACATTTCATTAGGCTATAACTGCCATAGGTAGGGATGCCTCTAATGGAACTGGGAAAAGTTAATTGGAAATAATTCACCATTCTAGATGTCATTAAGAAAATTTGTGATTCATGGGAAGAGGTCAAAATATTAACATTAACATGAGTTTGGAAGAAGTGGATTCCAGTCCTCATGGATGACTTTGAGGTCTTCAAGACTTCAGCACAGGAAGTCATCGCAGATGTGGTGAAAATAGCAAGAGATCTAGAATTAAATTGGAGCCTGAAGATGTGACCAAATTGCTGCAATCTCATAATAAAACATGAACAGGTGAGGAGTTGCTTCTTACGGATGAACAAAGAAAGCAGTTTATTGAGATGGAATGTGCTCCTGGTGAAGATGCTGTGAACGTTGTTGAAATGACATCCAAGGATTTAGATACTGCATAACTTAGCTGATAAAGCAGTGGCTTTGAGAGGGTTTGAGAGGATTAACTCCAAATTTGAAAATACATTCTACTCTGGGTAAAATGCTATCAGCATCATATGCTATGGAGAAATCTTTCATGAAAGAAAGAGCCAATCAGTGCAGCAAACTTCACTGTTGTCTTTTTATAAGAAATTGCCACAGTCATCCCAACTTCTAGCAACCACCATCCTAGTCAGTCAGCAGTCATCAATATCAAAGCAAGACCTTCCATGAGCAAAAAGATTACAGTTGTTGAAGGCTCGGGTAATTGTTAGCATTTTTTAGCAATAACGTATTTTTAAATTAAAGTTTGTATGCTGTTTTTATATACATAATGCTATTATACGCTTAATAGACTACAGCATTGTATAAATGTAACATTTCTATTCACTAGGAAACCACAAAACTTGTATGCCTCCCTGTATTGCTATATTCACTTTACACAGTGGTCAGAAACTGAACCCTTAGTATCTCTGAGGTATGCCTGTACATGTTCCTCAAGTTTTCATTATTATTTAATTATTCAGGAAATGTATTTAATTGGATTTCCATTTCTAGTTAACAGTTGCTTCTTTTGTGAGATTAATATTATTTGCCTGGTTTTAAGGATTTGTTTTGGCTGAGATGGATCATCAGCATCATTAGGTGACTAAATACGTCTTGTACTATTTAACCTTATTTATGACTCTGAGTGGGGGAGAATACTACCGATTATAGGATAAAATAAAAATCTAGTTTTAATTATCAAAAAGTAAATGCCAGCAAAATCTTGCTACTTTCTCAGAAAGCAGATATCCAGAAATTTTTGACCAATAACCCCCTAAGTGTGACCCACGAGTCTGGGAGGTCTGCTTGTGTGTCTCCTGATCTGCAATTGTGCTGTGTTATAAGGGAAAAAGAAAAACAATTCTACTAATGAATGCAGTTTTCCTTATTCTGTTGAATTTTTACTTGGAGTTATGCCTGAAGTCTAAGGACGTAATGTGGAAAAGAGAATGTATATTAACTATCAGTATAGAATATTAATGGCCTCACTCACTTCATCCACCCAGCTATTTGTTAGCACTTTATTTCTTTGGACTAATAAAAAAAAATCAGAAAAAAGTGCGTAATGGTAAAAACATATCATTTTTAACTGAGGCATTTATAAAGAGATAGTGGGGGGGACAGGTATAGCATTTACCAGAGATAGTCTCATCTTTTGAGAGTATTGTGGTGTTTAATATTAAGGACAGCTTATACACAATAGAAACATGATAAATGGAAACATCTTTTGTTCCACAGATGGGGATTTTAAGCTACTGTAATTATAATGAGGGTATAAGTGAATGTAATTAAGTTACACACAAATTCACCTTGGAGGTAGCTGTAAATTGCTTACTAAAAGTATCACTTAGAGAGGAAAAAGTAAAAGGTAATAGGCAGCTGCCAGTTCATCTCAAAAATCGAATTGAGTGGGGAAAATTAGGATACAGAAGATACTGTGAAAATTTTTTACATTACTGAAAGGGAGGAGGGCAACAATAGTTATAGAAATATAATTGAAAAACAGGGTAATTTCTATTTATTGCTGCATGCTATGAGGATGTGACGGGGGAGTAAAGAGAACTTTAGGAAACATCAGGAACTGTCTTCCAATGGAGACGATGCCCAGACACTGTCTTTTGAGCTGAGTGGAATGACTCAGGCTAGGAAAGGACAAGGACTTCAAGGTGGGGAATCAAAGATGCAGGTGTGCTCTGCAGAGGAAGGGACACAGTGGGCTTATCCAGAAATAGCTGGAAGAGGAAGAACGGTTCGCCTGCGGATCCTGCTCTAAGTCTGGCTGAATCCATGGCGGTTTTCCTTATCTGGACCACGGCGGCCACTCTGGTCGCTGGACTCTCCCATGTGGCTGTTGTAGCTTCTCAAAAAGGGAGGCTTGACAGTGGCCCAGAAAGACTGCCCATAGGTCCAGTGATACAGACTCTTAAACACCTTACTTCCTTATTTATGTGCTGAATGTCTTCATTTCCAACACCTCCCATTCACTGAGCGCCAGTTGAAATTGACAATTTGAAAACAATGCTGCAAGGTGGAATTTTTCAAGGTTTTTTTTTAAACAGTAGAGAGCATTGAAGCCCACAGAAGTATATTTCTCAAGGCTTATATCTAGCAAATGATAGAATCTGAATGAGTATCTTTAACTCCAAAGCCACAACTCCTTCCACTACTTGATACCACCTCTCCTGTGTCTTTGTGCAAAGCAAATTGGTTCATGCAGCCTTGATGTTAATGATACATATATATATGTATATATACATATATATATATATACACACATATATATGTGTGTATATATACATATATATACACACATATATATGTGTGTATATATACATATATATATATACACACATATATATATGTGTGTATATATATATATATAGCTTTAAACTATTATCCAGGTACACATTTCCTTTCCTAAATGAATAATGAATACTTGCTGTTCTCTATGATGATACCAACACCCATGTATTCAGAACTCTGTGTTCCTTTGAGAAATCTCTTCTGTAAACTGATGACATGTCACATTATAATGCTATCACTATACTTGATTTCAAATTTACTTGCCCTAATAAGCCACATCAGCATTTAATTCACTATTTACTACCCAAAGTGCCAAATTACAGTCTATTAGATGAAATATTAAAATGGAAGGTACTCGATAAAGTACAGAATATGGCAACATAATTTTAAAAAGATGTTGCATTCCAGTATAATATACTAGTGGGTGTCTTATACCCTGTTTATCTCTGGATATTGAATTGTTTTGACAGCTGTATGCACAAGTGAGTCCCGCAGGGTTTCTGTTTACATTAAAGCTTCCAAACGCTGTCTCCCTTGGATTGGAATGACTGGTTCACCTCGGAATTCAACCTCTCTGCCGGCATGTTCATCAGCTACCTCAGAAGTCTTCTCTGAAATAAAAAGCAGATATTGTATAAGGCTACTAAATTGAATCCAAATGCTCCATTTCATTTACACAAGCATTTTTTTAAAGTGCCTTAAAATCTATTGTCTGCTCATACCATGTACTGTGACAATCATAATGGAGGATAATATGTGACGTCCCCAGGAGACGCCAAGGAAACCTGCCTAGCTCTGTCCACATGCATGCTCTCAGGACCTTTGGCTTCACCAGCCAGAGGCGGGTCCATGCGGGAAAGGCATTGAGGCTCAGTTTGGGAGGTGTCGGATGGGATCAGAATGATACTGGAGAGGAGAGTTAAGGGGATTAGCCTGACCCTGAATGGGAGATTTATTTAGAAACTTGAAGTAGTAAGATAGTTGAGTTAGTATTTATTTAGTCTTGAGGGGTAGAGAAAGAAGTATGTCAAATATCTTTCTCTTACCCCTTCTAATCTCCTCAAAGCCCACAAAAAGTAGAAAATGTAACTGCTGAATACAAGTAATCTCCCAATTCATAGATCTGGGCCTTTCAGAAGGACAATGAATTGAGGACTCCTACTCCCAGCCCATAGGAACCATGTGAGAAATGGGAATTTATCACTCATGGAGTGATGAGACCTTTGTAAATGCTGGTATCCAGCCATCTTCCCAGCTTCCCTGGCAATGGCACTCAAATTCAACAGTTCTTAAAATCATGTGGTCAAGCAAAACTTTAGGCCAAATATAGTTTAGAGATGTTTAGACCTCTGAGAGAAATAGAAGGAAAACATTGACTTGGTTAAAATGTGTAAGAAGGGGAGAGGAGTTTAGAGAATAAACAGCTTTGATCTATTTAAAGTATTTGAATAAAGGCCTGCCAGTTGTTTTCAGATACTTGAAATGTGGCTTCTCAAGGTGAGTTCTTGATATTGAGTCACTACCAAGCTTCCATTAAATAAATCATGGCACCTCTGTGTTGTTGCCTGTGGCTCTGCAGAGACAGCCAAGTGTGGAATCCCCTTCCAGGTCTTATTTGGGGGCATTTTTGAGGAATCATCTTAAAACTGACCCCAAATGCCCCATTAGAGGCTCCTTCAGGTTTAGAATATGCAGAGCATAAGTTTCCTAAGTAGTTGTGGTTTTATGGTAAGCAACTAAGCAGACCTTTCACTCAGCATGTTCTGTTTCTTCTTGTAATAAAGTTTAAGCTCATTTAACAGTTCTTGAGACTGCCAGGTAGAACAAAGGCCATTTGAATTCTGTGCATAGGCACTTGATAACTAGCCTCACCAGTCTTATTATCCTGAAAATACAAGACTAACTATAGCAGACGAAAGCTTGAATAATCATGCCTTAAAATAAACTGGATTAATAAAAGTGGGAAATTGCTTTTGCTGATGACGTTGCTCTTCTTACATAGAAACATCCGTTGGCCTGTGGGTGTTCAGGCCCCCAGGGGCCCACCTCATTGAAAACACATTAAACTGTACTTTTGGTAGCCGCTGCTAAGTGGAATCCAGTTTTCTCTCTGATAATTGTTTTGTCATCTCCTTTATGATCTTCGATTAGACTGATAATCTGGGATTTAGGAAGAACGAGAGACAGAAAAAAGTATTCTTGAAACCCAAATAAATTGTTTCACTTAAAATAGATGGCAGGTTTATTTCAGCACTTGCCTTGTTTCCCTTTAAATTTCTGTCTCTTCTCTGTCCTTTTATTCTACACATAGAAAGAAAGGGGAGAAAAGAACTCCAGATAGATGGTCTTTCTTTATCTCTTACCTTACATTTGTAAACCTAGCTTGATTTCGTGATGTTAAAGTATTGCCTTTGACCATGCTGTGTGAATCCCGACGAGAAAGGGAATGGATTGTACCAAAGGGAGTGAACGATGCCCACACTCTGCTGGGAGAGACTGGGATCCTCTTGTTTTACTAGGCGTTCTCCCAAGCACATGATGCTTTGTTTTTCTTTCCTCCTCTTGCCCAAGAACCATCTGGCTTTCACTTGAAATTCCACATTGCCTTAAGCATGAATAGTTTGGAGTATTAATAACCAAAACATGCCAAGCTCCAATGGTCAACTCTAATACCTGCTGGGGTATTGCTTTGGGTTGCTAATCTCCGTGCTGTCCTCTTACTCTCCCGATTAGCACTGCCTGGTTGACCAAGGTAGATGGTCTCATATGACTTACATGCCTGTCCCAGTGCTGGCAGCCCCTTCTGTGATGGTTCAGTCTTTCCATGGCCATGGCATGACATCAGGGAGCCGATCTGTAGGCTGGCCATGGGCCTGTGGCGTGTGTTGGTCTAAGAACTCCATCCAGTGTGATGAATCGAACTGAATAGATCCCCTCTTTTGGACAGTTTGAACTAGATTCAAGGAGAATTTTAGTCTGCACCCAGAGAAATCAAAGAAAGAGACAAAAGGAGTGGCCCCCGTCAGGGCACTCAAGAAGGCAGCCAAGAATATCTGCCTCTGGGGTTGAAACCATGAGAAGAGCTGTGGTGTCACCGAGCGTGGTGTCACTGGCCTCTTGGCCAGTCCTCTGAAGTGACTGGTCTTCCTTAATGCCAGCCCAGTCCTCTCTGTCTGTATGGAATTTGTATGCACATTCTGTGTTCCTTACACATTCACATAGCCTAGTCAGCCTACCAGTCTGCAGATTTGGATTTGAATATTAGTTCAACCAAGTTACTCGGAGCAGAAATACACTTTTATTACTTTAGAGGGTATTGGCTAACTGTATGGATGCACAGGGAAATGAGTAAGAAACAAAAAGCATCACCCTCCACCATCCTCTTAGGATGGAAGTGCAACCAGAACGTCCTCGTTCATGATTTGGGACCCATCTGTAGCTGCAGCGGTTCCTGCTAAGTGGGCACTGTGTCCAGCGCATGACTCAAGTTGTTGCTGTCTCTACCTCCCAGACTGGGCTTCTCCTCCTGCCTTTACTTTGTCTTCCTCCTCCTCTCTCCTCGTGGTCTCTTCCTACCTCTCTCTTTCCCTCTCCCTCTCCCCCTCTTCCTCCCCCTTTCCCCTCCCCCTCCCCCCTCCCTCCCTCTCCCTCTCCCTGTTCTTCTCCTTCTGCCTCTCTCTCTCCTCCTCCCCTCCCCCTCCCCCTCCCTTTCCCTCTCACTCTCCGTCTCCCTCTCCCACTCCCTCCCTCTCCCCTTCCCTTTCCCCCTCTCTCTCCGTGTGTCCATTTCTTGGTTTCGGCACTACTTTGCTGTCTAGTATGTTTACACATTTAATATTCAAGCTGTCTGGGAGAGAAGCATTGCCTGGTGTAGTAACTCCCCTCTCTGGAGGCCCCTGGCCCCAGGTATTCATTTGTAGGCTGCCTCTCTCTCAGGGGATGACTTCGGCTCCTCAGTGCCAAGGAGAGTAGGGTCATCTTTGCACAGTGGCTGCGTGTACAGCAGGAATACCCTGTATAGCTTTTCTACACGGCGGGGAAACATGAATGTGAGGGATTACAGTGGTCAGGCTGTGGACCCCACAAACATAAGGATCCATGTGGATATGTGTAAAACTGGTAATATAATACAATTTGCCACTCTAGTGTTCTTTTTTCTTCTTCTGAGTATCTTTTTCAACTTCTTTTATGGCTAAATTCAGCGTATTCTAGGATGGGTAAAGTAATCAGGAGTAACAAAATTCCCTTATTCACACAAGGGTGCGGTCTGTGTTCTTTGGAGGCAAATCCTGTTGTCACTGCCTCCTCCAGTGGGTGTCTGGAGCTCCAGTGGGCATGAAGTTGGGGCAAATGAGGGAGACAGAATCTAGTCTCCCAACTAAGAAAACACTATGATATCTGCTAAGTATTAGAATGAAGAGCTGAAGAGGATGTTCTTGTTTCTCAAGAGTTGGATTCCTCAATCCTCTAGCATGGAAGCTTCCCAGGGAGGATGGTGATTAACTGGAGTTTTGAAGAGTGTGTACACATTCCCAGATGCACAGGGCACAGACAGGGGACTCAGACCTAGTAGCTGATGTCCCAGACAAGAACCGTGGGTCCATGTCCACCCAAAATTCAGTGAAAAGTATATTTACTTGTGTATATGTGTTATATGTTAATATGTATATATATGTATATATATCTAGAGAGAGAGAGTGGGGTGTGTGTTTGTGTGTGTGTGTGTGTGTGTGTACAAAGCCATATTTGTATCAGATTGGCAGAGTCTTTCTTGTACTAAGGAATTTTCAAAACCATTTTGTAAGTACATGTCTAGTATCCCTATCCAAAATTCATAGGACCATAAGTGTTCTGTATTTCAGACTATTTTTCTGGAGTTTTGAATATTTACAGTATACTTAACTGGGTGAACATTCCAAATCCAAAATCTAGAACGTTCCAGTGAGCATTTCCTTTAAGTATCCTGAAACAACATAAGCAACTCCATGCAGTCTATGACACATGTTTATTAAACCATGTTAAGGCTCTTTTGTAGACACCAAATACAAAAAGAAATGGAAAAAAAAAAAAACAGGAGTTGATAAGCAGATATGGATCTTCTTACCCGCTCCCCACCCCTACTCCAGTGGCTTTTTTGAAGTATTTTTTGCTTGAAAAAATACCAGCTTGAGACCCTGGTTACTCATCACTGTGGCTCACACTTGAAGGTGTTACATGAAGTTTAGTCTAAAGCTGTTTCATTCTATTTATAACGTTTGGCCTAAAGATTTTGTCCTTCACTCTTCTCAGGATACATGACTTATTAGGTCTCTTTTTCCATAGTTTAAAATAAATGGGACAGTCATTATAAATGCATCCCTCATAATAGACTCCATAAGAAATTCTACTACAAAGACTATTGTTACACAAAAGACTAAATTCTGTTACTAAAATTGTTCCTAATAATAAAATCACACTAGATTATCCATTGACTACACAAAAAGAATCTGTTTTGTTATGAACACTTTTTGTTATACATAAAAATTATAAAGATTCAATTGTGAGAGATTAACAGACTACTTGGCTAAAACAAATACTATTTATCTAACTCACGTTTAAAACTCTTCAATTTTAATTGATTCATAGAGACTCTGACCAGAAACCATATTTCAAACTCTTAATATTATCTTCCTAATAGTCATAATAGTAGCCTCCCCAAAATACTATATTTTCTCAAATGTTTACATACAGACATCTATAAACTGTCAACTGGTCCCTCTTCAACCCAAACAACAAAAACTCCAAAAAGTGATCAACAAGTCACTGTAACATATAAGACACACTGAGACCGAAAACTGAAAATAATAATAGCTAAAAGTACCACGAAGCCAACAGTAAAGTTTGGGTCACCCTCTCACCTATCCAATAAATGAATAAATAAATAAATAAACAAACAAACAAATAAATAAATAAAACATAAAATTATAAGAGGCTATTGCTTTTGACTAAACTCATGTACTAGGCTCCAACCGACCAGACCAAACCAAACTAAAGTCACTCATACTAAATATCACATAAACAAACTAAAACTTAAAAAAAAAAAAAAACTATAGCAGACCAGGTTTTATCTCCTAAAATCAAAAAATTTCAACACACAGAGGTTCCTTCTACTCTAATCCTTACAGAAAAGTAACCTAAAGTCCTTCTTTTCACTTTACAAAACCCACTATCCAACTACTTCCCAATAAAATTTAAAACTGTGTGAATATGTTTATAATAGTGACAAAATGTCATCAGTGCCTAGAGTTTTGGTTAACCCCTCATGATTTTTGGAGGTTGACCATAAAGAGAGAATTGTTAAAGCAAATTTAGCCTAAGCTGCCTCCTTGCGTATTTTAAGTCTGGCCTAAAGTTTTCCCTGTACAGAGTAAACTGTGTAATCAGGCTATAACCTCCTCTTGTTCCAATCACGAAGATCACCAAGTTTTGGCCTCTGAAAGGTGACAAATTCTTCAAAGCAGTTCAAATAGACACCAAGGTGTAACCAATACAACTGTTTGTGTACCTGACTTCCATTTTCTGTACATCATTTTCCTTTTTTTTCCATAAGTCTTCTTTGACCACACAAAAACACTAGTCTCTCTAAACCTATTCTAGTTTGAGGGCTATGTGATTCACTTTACTCAATTAAACTCTATTAAATATAATTTTTAAGTGCTTTTTTGAACAAAGGTTTGTGACTGTAAATATTTAATAATTTTCTTTCTTAAGATGTTGTTAAACTTGTTCTTCTATGTCACCAGGAACAAAAGATATGTAAGAAGGGTATTAAAATTTCCTATATAAGGGTATTAAGAATTTCCTATAAAGGAAGTATTACATAGGCAGTCATCAGTTTCTCATAACTTTCTTTTTCCCAAATCCCAACAAGAATTCCTAATTCACTCAGTCAAAATATTGCACATTTTAGCTTCATAAGTTATGAAATTAAGAAAAAAAATCAATCCCTTACCCGTGTTGGAAAAGAAAGTACTCAGGGTTCTGGTTAATGTTTAAGGAAGAGGTTAGAAATGTCAAATAACAGGTCAAATAAGAGTTATAGATTAACATCCAACAAAGAAATTGTCCAAGAACCATAGTTTATTAACTCAACAAACACAAAAGAGGCTTACTACTACTTATTGACCAATAAGTTGTAAACTTAAAATTGCCAAACTCACCTTTACATAGCCAAATTTTTCTCAAAAGAAAACTTAAACTTGCAATGAAATTCTGTTTTACATGAAAGCTCCGTTGAAGTAGCTATTATATTACTAGTTACACATCGTTAACCATTTAAACCATTATTTTTTTCCAAATATTCTGTTCCAGTTATTCAGGTCTCATTAGTTGTGGTAGGTAAATGTACTTTCTCCTCACTGTCTTAGTCTCTCAAAGAGATCTATTAATTATTTTTAGTGCTAGGGAAGGGAATTGACCTGAAAAAGTACTCCTGATAAAGGTGCATGGTCTACATCCACATAAAATTGCCTACTCCTCCGGTAGTTGACACCGTGATAAACAAAATCAACACATCTAGAGAATCTTCCATTCTACATACTCAGTCTTTTTCTCCACTGAAATTTCTTGCCTCTCTTGAAAATGATTTTTTAAACATGATATGGTAAAGATACACGGGCTTTAGTGTCAGGTACACCAGACTGCAAAGTCCCCTTCTTAACTGTATTTTAAAAAATTTTATTTATTCATTTATTTGTAATTTACAATTTTTTATAATTTCAACTTTTATTTTACATTCAGGTGGTACCTGTGTAGGTTTGCTGGATGGGTATATTGCGTGATGCTGAGCTTTGGGGTTCAAATCATTCTGCAACGCAAGTAGTGAGCATAGCACCGAATAGTTAGTTTTTCAACCCTCCCTCCTCCCTCACTCCCCTCTCTAGTAGTCCCCAGTGTCTCTTGTTGCCATATTTATGTCCGTGTTTACCCATTGCTTAACCCTCTCGGAAGTTATTTTTCTTCTGATAAAATGGAGATGCTAATACCATCTTACAGGGCTGTCGTGAGGATCGCATGTGTAGCACGTGTGAGTAAACTCAGCGCCGTGAATGGAGCACAGCGTGTAAATGAGAGTGTCCCAGAGTCTCCAGGGACAAGTTTCTGGGATGTTTACTTCTGCCTCTGGCCTGGAGGTTTGCATGCAAATAGACCATTAGAAATAATGGACTGCTTACAGGGACACAGCCACTTGGCACTGACTTCCGTCAAATCTCTAGCCAAAGATGTTCCCTGGCTGCAAAACGACATGGAATCTGTAATCCTTGTTTTCTCTATAGCTGTGCAGGGACAACAGACTGAAGGACAAAAAGTAGAAAAGAAATTAAGGAAACCAGTATGTCCTTCAGGAGGAGGCCAGAAGGATGGCGTCCACTCCAGCTTTCTCCTGGGCTTCCAGGAGGCTGGACAGAGGGCATCTGGCAGCAGCTCCATCTTCTTGAAGAGCTTTGTGCACTTCTGTCAAGAAGGTGCTGGAGCAAAATAATCTGCCAATCATGCCCTTCTAATGTTTCCACTTCAGCAAGCTCATTCATTTCAAACTGAGGAGCCTCAAGAGCCTCAACATCCCACAGGGCTGCCATGTTTGAGGAAGGCGGAGAAGGGACCCATAGTAAGAAGGGGAGGTGAAGAAACATAATAACATGCTGCTGTACAATTACCCAATTTGTTGGCATCACAGAACTGGAAATAGAAGTGATGAGTGGAGCAAAAATAAAGGTTAGGATTCTTAGGCAGTGTACACAGTACCATTGAGTACCATTGTGGAATGGATGCCATAAATAATAATCGCTAAGTTTTATCGAATGGTTATTATATACCAGATAACACCTTAATTGTGTTATTTTATTTGGTCCTCACAGCAACCAGTGGAGTAGATAATGTTATTCTCATGTTTATAAATGAGGAAACTGAGTCCAGAGAAATGAAATAACTTGTATTTAGGGTCACCCCAGTAGAAAGTGAGAAAGCCGGGTTTGAAAGTCTGATGTTCACATCCCAGAATTCAGCTGAAATAATACTTAGGAAGAGTCCTGTGTGTGTTGGCAGTCAGAACTCGCAAAGCTGCATGAGGGCGGCTGTGAGTCACCAAGAGACTCTGATGATTAGCAACACCTGGTCACCACACTGCTTTCTAAAGAAGACAGTTCCTATTACCTGCAGGGTGCTGCTTTGTTGCCTGAGGATTTGGGTCGGGGCCCAGAGTGAACTGCTTGAAATAATACATGAGCACTTAGCAGTGTCCCTTCTTCTCTAATCTGTCCCCAGGAAGCATCCCGCCTCTCCTGGGAGCAAATGTTGAACAAATGGATTGAAAGGATACCAAATAATTATCTTGCCCTAAGCATGAATCGCTTCACCTTCCCACGATGGCCTTCTGTCTTCGTCTGGCTTTGACTTGGGTCAGGATGTTTGATAACCAGTGATGGCCATTGGGCTAATAGCAGTAGCATTCTGGACAAGAAGCCATGTACGGAAAACACCCATTTGGCTCATAAGTTCTGAGTAGCTGCGTTCCATGCTCAGTACCATTTGTTCAATGATGCCCGTGAGCCAAGCTGTTGGTTTTTCAGTATCACTCACTAAACTCTTTTTCCAGACACAAGAAGTCCTATAGGACTCTTAGTGAACTACTAATATCCCACATAATACTACCATTCATATGCCAGGACATACTAGTAACATCTACTCTGGAGATGCTGATAACTCAATTAGTTGCTATGACTGTATTCATTTGTAGTGCTTTACATAGGTTGGACAGAGAAATATTGCATGGAATAAGTAAACGTGAATTTCACTTTGGCTTTGCCACCAGCTTCCATTTTTGTAAGTTCATTTCTCCAAGAAATCTAAGTAGATTCACCTTTCTTTCTCTCCCACCCCTCCAATTAAAGTAACCATTATGCTAGTTTAATGGGATAAGTAGTACTTTTTTCATCTTTTGTTTGGTAATAAAATGTAATTTGGGGAAATGAAGTTGTTTCCTGGATACCTCAAGCCAATAAAATAGTGACACAAGGACGAATATTTATACAACATCCTTGGTTTTTCAGTCCAGTGTCCTTATCTTTTGCCTTAGTTAGTGATGTTAAAATGCTATGCCTTTTTTTCTATATTAAAAAAAAATCTCTGAATTCGAAAGGGTCAATGAGATATATCTCCATGAGAGGCAACATCCAAATCATCTGCCAGGTGATCCCACCTTGTCACAAAGGATTGTGACTGACAGCAGAAAGAAAGCAGGCATGAGAAAACGAGATGCAGTCAAGAGCTGACGATCACATCAAAAAGGAAAGAAAGGTGAAACATTTCGACTACAGTGAAATTTGCTGTTAAGCTTTTTCTATGGAGAGAAAAGCTTTCTTCATAGAGAAAACCATATTTCAAGAATTACCACTCAAAAAGCGTAGGTGGCCACTTGATGATAGAGAGGCCATGTGTACTCATTCTTGATGACAAGTACAGGGTGACCTAATTGGGGGCTTTCACTCCAGCAAACTGCCCCGATTCCACTGACCCCATGACGAGGATGCTTATTTTTCCAAATAGCCACAAGTCTTGAGGCAGGATACCTTCAGGGTTGGCTAACTCAGCTCCTAGGTCTGCCATCCTTAGTGCTATGCAAAATGTAGACGGGCTTTGTAGGGGAAAAGGGGTTATTTCTGTTATTATAAAGAGGGGAGTTCACCTAAACATCATCAGCTACCCTGTTGTTGGTTCCTATCCGTGGATGCTAATTTCTGCCAGTGATCTCTGCCCTGGGGAGGATGAAGAGCTGAAATACATTTAAACTACGTACTCAATAGACTGTTGGACTTAATTTGAAACTAATATCTTTACTTTTTTCTCTTTGTGAGTAAATAAAACCCTTAATTGACATTACCAGATGCTGAACTAGACAAATGGCTGATATTTTTGTGGAATGTGTACAATTGTATCACCCACACAAATTGGCTAATGATCTAAATATTTTTTAAAAGACATTGGGTAGTATAGTAAGAGTCACACCTGATGTTCAAGGGTAGATTTATGGCACTGTTATCTTTTAATCATGTGAAAATTTTCTCAGGTGGAATGATATTTCATAGAACTAGAGTTTTCTTAGCTAGAGACGGCACAGCACCTCCAACTTTTCTGTTTCGAGAACTGCCTGTTCCCTTGTGTTCCCTTGACCTCAGACAGTGAAATGACATTTGCCAATTCAATATAAAAATAGCAACAAAAGAACTTATTCCAGAAAGTTTCCTGTTTTATTTCTTTTTGGATACATATTTGAGTGGGATTTTGAAGCTAACCTGAAGTATAAGGGAACTTCATTATGGGTTTATTTGACTTACTATATGTCACCTTTGCAACCAACAAGCTTATGCTTTATTTCATTTTCTGTGAAAACGAAGGAAATGGGCAAAAATCTCACCAAAATATGGATGGGGTAATGAGTGCTAGTGTCCATGCAACATGTAACCATGGCTTAGCTGATAAAAAAGAAATTCCTATTGATGTTATCTTTTTAATCACAAGGTAATTGTGCTGACAGCTAAGAGAACTAGGCCAATATTATAAGTAGCCTAAGGGAGCAGCAGAGACACAGGTTTGGCTCTCTGTAATTGTGAAAAAACACTTGGTTGTTGGCATCACAAATTATGCTATATCAATTAGAGAAAATATTTGAAGGACGTTGAAGAGTTGAGAGCAGGTGACTAGCTAGCTGCCACTAGTTAGTTGTCTGCATTGAGGTATTGCTTTGGCCTAAATCCTTTGCCTTTCTTTCCTAGATGTTCTATACATTCAGTGAGAAGTCAGCCTGTGTTTGCATAAGCATTTCTGTCACTGCCAACCCAGCTCTGATGACAGAGTGTGAGCTTCTGTGCTGCTGGTACCTTTGGGATTCGTGCTGACTCGTGACAAGCCTAGGAGGGCCACAGAAAGAAGGATGTAAGGATGTAAGAAGGATGACCTTCCATGTCTTCAAGAATAGTTGCGTTTTAAGAAACAATGAGACTTCCATGTCCTGATGGCAGTCGATGTAGAAATTCCTGGCATTTGGCAACAGCATGGAATCACATTCTGTAGTAATACAAAGAGTCTGGCTTCTGGCTTCTCAGGTAGATTCAACAATGTCAGCTCTCCTGGTAACTGCTCTAAAAATACATTTTAGAGTCATAAGAAGCCCGGTTTTGACCCCTCACTCTCTTACCTGTGTAGACACCCAGATATGCTCCATGCACTCTTGGGTGTGAGAGTGATTCCCTGTTCTCCCAACCCTTCCCCAGCCACGCCCTTTGTGCTGCTCCGCAATGCTTGGCTCGGGAGGAAACTGTATTTCCCAGATGCCCTTGCCAGCGAGTTCCTGTGACATCTGCTCAGTGGATCCAAAGGCAGGTCAGGGGAAAGGCGCTGTCATTTTCTCTTTTCTACCCTTCCCTCTCTCCTGCTTCTGGAAGTGTCTGTGATCCCTTCTCCATGCCACTCCTCCGTGACTGGGAGGCAGTGCCTTGGTGGTTTCTACCCACTCAGTCGGCCCATCCTCAGGGGTCCTGGCATGCACTCAGCACTCAGAAGTTCTGATAAAGTACTTTCTTGAGTTTCCTGAGTCCTGGGGGCAGTAGCTGTTTCCTACAGTTTACCAGGTGATCTAATCTCATTCTATCCCTTTTTTCTTTCTTTTTTTCTCTTTCTGCTCTGCTAACATTTTGTAACAGATTTCTTATATTCAGTGCACTCTTAAGAAGTACCTAATACATCTTGTATGTGGTGGGATTAATAGTACTTTAAATAGTACACACAACCTGCCTGTAAAAGGCCTGAAAAGAGCTGTGAAATAATTTATACTCCTTTTCTTATTGAGTCCACATTTAGGAATCTATCCTGTGAATGAAATCAGAGATGGTCCTGGAGATTTTATGAGCATGGGTTTTCATTGGTGGGTTAATTTTTAATAACAGAAAAAGGAATTACTTGTAGAACAATAGGAACCATTAAAATACACTCATACAAATTACAATACACATACACATTAAGATACTGTACCATTATTAAAAATCACATTTTCAAAAGAAAATGTTCATAGCATAAGCGAAAAAACAGTGTATTAGCCTGTCCTCACACTGCTCTAAAGGACTGCCCAAAACTGTGTAATTAATAAAGGAAAGAGGTTTAATTGACTCACAGTTCTGCATGGCTGGAGAGGCCTCAGTGAACTTACAATCATGGTGGAAGGGGAAGCAAACATGTCCTTCATCACATGATGGCAGCAAGGAGAACTGCCGAGCAAAAGGGGAAAAAGTCCCTGATAAAACCATCAGCTCCCCTGAGAACTCATTCACATCATGAGAACAGCAGGCATGGGGGTAACTGGCCTCAGGATTCAACTACCTCCCACCGGGTCCCTCCCGTAACACATGGGGATTATGGGAACTACAATTCGAGATGAGATTTGGGTAGGGACACAGCCAAACCATATCAAACTGTATACAAAAGAGTATGAGGGAATGTTGTATAAGGGAATAAACATTTTAATTTTTTAAAATTTATTTTATTTTGAGATGGAGTTTCACTCTTGTTGCCCAGGCTGGCATGGAATGGTGCAATCTCTAGTCACCGCAACCTCCACCTCCCGGGTTCAAGCTATTCTCCTGTCTCAGCCTCCCAAGTAGCTGGGATTATGTACCACCACACCCAGCTAATTTTGTATTTTTTATAGAGGCGGGGTTTCTCCATGTTGGTCAGGCTGGTCTCGAACTCCCGACCTCAGGTGATCCACCCACCTCGGCCTCCCAAAGTGCTGGGATTACAGGCATGACCCATCGTGCCTGGCCGGGAATAAACATTTTTATAAACACCACTTTATAGGTATGATCAAAGAAACATTTCTATTAACACACCTTTACAGGGAATGCAGTGGAAAGAAATCAGGCAAGTTTCTATTGGGGTGATTTTTATTTTCTTTTCTGTGTTTATTTTTGAAAATTTAAAGAAATGTCCACCATGACTATTTTTTAATAAGCAAAAGACAATTAATACATTTTAAAAGAATAATAGTTCTTATTATGCCACATATAATAATAAATCCCATTTGGATATAAGATCTAAGAAAGCCAACCAAAATCCTTTCAATCTTGTATAATAATGGAAGAAAACTAGAATGACATTCTGTAATCCCAAAAGATAAAAGAATAAAAAAGATTTTCAACAATGATTAATTTGGAGATAAAACACAAATGTGATAAATGTAAAAAGATTCTTTAGAACAAGGTGATTTTTAATTTACAAAAAAATTATTATAACC
This sequence comes from Homo sapiens, assembly GCF_000001405.40. Classification (NCBI taxonomy): domain Eukaryota; kingdom Metazoa; phylum Chordata; class Mammalia; order Primates; family Hominidae; genus Homo; species Homo sapiens. Next base: position 162,366,153 of record NC_000006.12, on the reverse strand, counting down.
TGTCAAATTGGCATTATAAAACTGCATTTGTGGGAAAAGGGCCGTTGCCATAATATTGGTGACAATATAAATTGCCATTAAAGCTTTTTTGCAGTACCCATGGCAAGTACCCATCAATATTTTGTGTGTACAAATCTTTGGGCAGTAATTTTACTTCGAGGCATCTCTCTAATGGAAATATTTGTGTAAATGTGCTACAATCCAAGTTGAAGTATACTTCCATTATGCATCTTCTCAGTGGACGTTTATTGAGAGCCTATGATGTGGCAGACATTGTTCTAATAAAGGACACATTAGAGCATACCAGAGAAAAATCTTACATGAAAACAGTAAACAGTAAGAAATACATGAACAAGATTATTCCAGAGGGTGATGGGTGCTGTACAGAAAATAAACCGAGAAGGTATAAAAGATATTGACTAAGGATAAATTAGATTGTGTAGAACAGGAGCTCTAGAAAGACCTCACCAAGGAAGTAACCTTGGAGCGAGTGATGAGACAGCAGGAACCACCACGCCAATACCTTGGGACAGGACATTCCACAGAGATGCAGAGACAAGGTTGGCTTAGCCCAGGCATGGAAGAAAGGCCAGGGGCACAAAGATTTGGTATAAGAAGTTCCAGAGGAAGACAAAGACAGGTAGTAAATCACGTAAGAGTCCACGGGCTATAGTAAAAAGCTTGAAGTTGATGTACATATTTTTGATTTTGAAACAGTAAAAAATTAGGGGAAAATATTTCAACATTCATCAGTAGGGGAATGGTTAAATACATTACTGAATATAATCATCTTGTAAAGTACTGTCTAGACATGAAAAAAATAGAAAGCTCTGTATTTACTGACATGGAAGAATGTGAATCATGCTATTAAATGAAAAAGCACATTACAGAACAATACACTTACAAAATACAATATCAAAATATACATATACACACAGATAAAGGTGAAATTCAGAGGTGGGGATGTGGGACTTTGACTTTTTACTTTATACACTTTTGTGTGATTTTTTTAAATTATGGATTTATTTTATTATTGATAAAATATACAAAGGTTACAATACTCCTGATTGTAAAAAAAAATGCTTAGTAAAGTATATTTAGAAAACAGGGAAATTGGAACAGTTTTTAGCCAAAGAAAATCCCACACTACATATTGGCAAAAAAAAAAAAAAAAGAGAGAGAGAGAGAGAGGGAGAAGAGAGATTTCTATTCTAAAAAATGCCTTAGGGCTTGTAGTTTCTTATAACTTCTGTGACTACCTATGGCGTATAAGTATTAGATTGTATTCTACAAATTGACAGCCCAGGATCATATTCCTGGTTGCTTTGTTTTTTACACAAATATCTTTATCTGAACTCTGGCTCATTCTGGAAATGTAAGCCTCTCCTCCCTCTTCCTGATTCCCCTTCACACCCCACAACCATGTCAGTTGTGCAGCCATTTTCTGGTTTAAATTTCAGAACACATGAGAGGGCCCAGCTCGCCGCATGTTAAGATAATCCTTTAAAGGTTGCTGTCTGGCCATGTGAGCTTGCAAGATAAGGCACCGAGCGTGGGGCTTTCTTCATTTGAAAGAGTATTTTGAGAACCTTCTTTGATGTTTGAAGCCCCTTTTCTTCTGACCTCCCACTTGCCAAGTAGATACTTTCTTTCTTTCTTTTATTTTATTTATTTTATGTTTTTATTTGGGGGACATTTTACTCCCAGGGTAGTTATAGTCAAAAGGAAGAAAAGTTTGGAATTTCTTCTGTTTGAACACCACTGTGTAATTGGAAGGCGCAAGTCTCCACGACACTGATGACAACTCAAAAAAGCTCAAATTAAGGAAAAGTCCAGTTGAAAGGTCAAGGTATGGAAACAGTACAGATAATTATTTGGGTATTATTTTAAAGAGCAATGCATTGGTGAAATATTCATCATGATTGTTTTTGGATACATTGAATACCAGTTATTTATATTCTTGAATCATACCAGTGAATGTCTGTGTAGATGGTATTATCAAGTCTGGGGTTTGATTTTACCCCTCTTACAAATCAGTGAGCCTGCTACTGTATCAGGCTGCTGGTGGAAGACGTGAGTCTTGGGGCCAAAGGCAAAGGGCTTTATTACACAGTGCTCAGCAGTGCAGCAGCTTGTGTGCAGGGAATGAAGCAATTGGCTCAGAGGGAACTTACTCATGGGTGGATTTGCATCACAGCCGGTGAATACTGAGCTGGGACTACTGTTATAGCAAGCCGCATGCAAGCCTTTTGTCTAGGGGAAGACCTTGCCTTATCTCTTTAGGTTACCAGTTGCATAAGCAACCCTGAGTAATAGTCTGTTAAAAGCGGGCAGGACCTTTTGATCTTGGCAAGTCCAGCAAGATGTATAGAAGGGAGAGAGGCCCAAAGAGGACTGTATCTCCCAGTGAGTTGTAATTTTATATCACAATATCTAATAGCATATAATCCTGTTAACGTAGTCATGCATATTACATATGCATTTCAAATAATCTTTTTAAAAGGTTTTTGTTAACTGAAGGCATAATAGTAACAATGATGATGTCTTTGCTTCATTTTTAAAAAGAACAAGAAATAATTTGGAAAAAGTAGCATAGAAATGAAAGAAGAAAAATGTCACTTTTCTTGTGCTGTCAAGTTTGGATTTATAGTTCACTATGATTAAGTATGGAAGAATAAATAGTTTTCAAATAGACATATTTATTAGCTACTAAATGGAGGTATATTAAATACAGGTACCTCGATGGCATATGGGTTTGTATAGAAAAATACATTTTTTTCCTACAGAAAGGGGGTTAGTAGTAACACAGAACTTCAGATTCAACATAGAAACCAAATTGAATTACAGCAGCATCAAAAGATTTTCAAAGAGGGGCTTTGGACAATGTACTTTGAATTGCCTCTGCAGAACACTAATACAGACACGTGCCTGGGCAGGGGCATGGAGGGCCAAGTGAAGCTAACCCTCTTTCCCATAACTCAAGTCAGGGGAGACAATTTTTTTTTTTTTTTTTTTTTTTTTTGTTTGAGAAGGAGTCTCGCTCTGTCACCCAGGCTGGAGTGCAGTGGTGTGATCTTGGCTCACTGCAAGCTTTGCCTCCTGGGTTCATGCCATTCTCCTGCCTCAGCCTCCCGAGTAGCTGTGACTACAGGCGCCCACCACGACGCCTGGCTAATTTTTTGTATTTTTATTAGAGACAGGATTTCACCGTGTTAGTCAGGATGGTCTCGATCTCCTGACCTCGTGATCCACCCGCCTCAGCCTCCCAAAGCGTTGAGATTACAGGCGTGAGCCACTGCGCCTGGCCAGGGGAAACAATTTTTATAGAATAGTGTTTTTTATTGTGAAGGATAACTTTTTGTGAAATAAAGTTTTTTTCTGGGCTAGAGGAGGCTTCCTCACGTACCCTGGCCACCCTGAGTGCTTGTTCACAGTTGGTTTTGGAAGGGAATAGCAGAAAGAGCAAGATGAATGTGAGTCCGCCTCTTCCTACTATTGTTTCTTAATATTTACAATGTCTCCCATGTTAGTCTGATTTATCTAACAGAATTTTCTGCTATCCTAAAAGGAAGAAAAATAAAATAGAGAAACAGGTGTAATTTTCAGTAGAAATTTATTTTTAATATTATTCAATTTTAATTCAAATAGGATTATTTTTCAGTTATTTTACACGGCCCTTATTTTTGAAAGTTAAACTTGTGTCCGCCACCTCCCACCCCCAAATATCTCAGTGCATTACTATTACTTTTTTAAAGATAGGTAACTAAGCATTATACTATTTTGAGTTGTAGAAATGTGGTTTATATGTTCCAAATAGCTAAATTCTAAAATTGACAGGATACAACTTATCAAACATACAAAACATATATTTTACATGGTAGAGAAAAATAACGAAAACATTCTTGAGATGATTTGATTTTTCATAAATTAAATGAAGACTTGAGTCAATTTATAAATTGGCAAGTAGAAGTAACAGCATGTTCTTTGAGGCCTTATAATTTATCTACTGAACCATAATTTTATAAATGAGTATCCTTTTGATACTTCCCTTTGGAACACTGCATATTTGGCAAAATGTTTGGGATCTTTTACTTTTAAACATTTAACACACACGGTGTAGAATGTGAGCAATTCATTGTTGAAAATCTGAGAGCTGCACAGTCCCTATTTTTCATAATTCATATGCATGCCTTCCTTCTTTTCGGGGTGGAATTGTAATTGCCAGCTTTGGTTATTTGGTACTTTTTTCTTAGTAGGTCTTCAGCTGTTTCTCCAAGAATGTTATAGTTAATGGCCTCAAGGTTTGCTTTGATATCAGGCTGCACGTATTTACAGAGACTGGAAGTACGTGAGCAGATAGGACTCTTGGCATATTAACACTATAATTCCTTTAGTGGAAAAACTTAGACTTAATTTGAGCAGAACATCAAACCTATGCACAGCACACTTGCATCACTGCTGCAAAAATCAATGTGGCTTTTTTTATAAATAAAGAATAATTAAAAGACAAGCCAGAAAATTTCTCTCCATTTTCTCTCTCTTGGTCTGTCGGTATTAGTCTGCTCCAGCTACTATAAAAGAAAGTCTCATAGACTGGGCACTTAAACGCACATGTTTAGTTCTCTGAGTTCTGGAGGCTGGAACGTTCAAGATCAAGGTGATTGCTGGTGAGGCCTCTCTTCCTGGCCTGCAGAGAGATGCCTTCTTGCTGTGTTCTCACACAGAGTAGAAAGCTCACTCTTTTTTTTTCATCTTATCAAGCTTTCCAATCCTGGCTTGTGACCTCATCCTCGTGACCTCATCTAACCCTAATCACCTTCGAAAGGCCCTACCTCCAAATACGATCACATTGGGGGTTAGGGGTTCAACATATGAATTTTTTGAGAAACACACTTTGGTCCATAACCCTTTCTCTCTCTCTCTCTTTTCCCCTAATGAGCCACTCCAAATGCAAAGCGAACTTCTGAAGTAAAAATGTAGCCATCTGAACTTGACTGATGTTTACAAGTTATGGTTTCCTGGGTGGTGAAGGGCCTGTCTTCCCAGCTAAGAAGATGGATTGTCTTGTTTCACAGCCAGCATCAAAGGCACTGGATGGGATGCCAAAGTTTCTGATGAGAACATTTCACTTAAGATAAAAGGCACTTCTAAAATCCTGGAACTCTGTTTTGCTTTGTTTTGTTTTTCATTTAAATTTTCAGTAAAGATCAAAGCTGTCAAAAATTTAATTCAAAAACTCATCATTCATCCATGTTGTCTCTCAAAGGCCAGTTCCTTTATCCTTTTACCATTTTTAATCAGTATGTCTCATGCCCAGCACAATCAGAGGTGCAGACCCACTAACTCCATCGCTAAGCAGAGGTCTTAGTAAGCACTGGCCCGTGGTGTGCCACGGAAACATAGAAGTAATGAGAAAGGTGGAGCGAGAGCCTCACAAGGATCTTACCATTGTCGGTGTTTCATTGTCGGTGTTTACTTTTGACTTCTTGACCTCTGTGAAAGATTTCTGGTTTACATGATTTTGTGTTTGTAGGTTTTTTGTTTTTTGGTTTTTTTGTTTGTTTTTTAAAGAACAAATGACTTATTTTATGTGCTTATTTTTAATATTTAAAAAAGAAGAAAAGATGTCTGACTGTATCGAGAGTAGACAGGTTTTATAGGAAATATCTAAAAACAACTACATAAAGGTTACCATTCTTTTGAAAGGAAAGCCTTTCTCCTTCAAAATCCATTAATTTGTTTAGCACTTATTTTAAAAGGAAACTGAATAAATGCAAATGTTAGGGGATGTATATGTGAATGTGGCATTGTCCAAGTAAACGATTCACAGAAAAATTAGGAATTGTTGAAGAACACCTTACTGCAGTTCAAAAAAGTGAGTGCCATGGATTAAATAACAAATATTAAAAAATAAATGGACCGTAAGTTGCACTATTAGAAAGAACACTTTCTGTTTGTGTTATTTTTAAAGGGGTGCGATAAGACAGAGGAAACAAATTTTTCCACTTATTGTGTTCCAGGTACCACACACCCACACCCGCACCCACACCCACACCCACCCACACACACACACATATGTATATATAAATTATATTTTGCCGTATTTTAGTAAGTGAGAACATAAAAGTGAGAATTTGAAAAATTATAAAATATTGTATGACATGGGACGAGAACTGAGACAGTTTAGAAAACATTTTGAAGAATAAAACAATAATATAAGCCAATTATAAAAGATTTTCGGATAAAAATGTGTTGTATGGCATATTTGTTCTGTAGAATATTGATGGGTTCTTTGAAGAGAGGATGCCACAGTGAAGTAGTTTAGCCAACCCTTAACTAAACATGTATCTTTACTGTAGGAATTTTCCAATTCCATTAAGAGGCAAACGTCTATTCTCTATATAATAATCATGATTCTTGAACGTATTTGACCACTGAACAATATTTTTCCTTGCAGCAGATCAAGAAGTGGGTATTAAGACATTTTGGGAAATACTGGTTTAGCTGCCTCAAATGCAGGAAATAAGATCACTTATAACCATGTTTATGTTTTTTTTTTTTTAATTTTAAAAGGTATATTTAGTTATAGCAAAGAAAAAGGAATACTTAACTCATGGTTTTGTTCTGTTTTGAGAAAATACTGAGGAGATTTCATTAGCAAATTAACTCTTGTAGTAAAAAAGATTATTGGTTAAAAGTCAAGTGATTGAATTTTTTCCTGATTCCATTACTAAGACTTTGGACAAGGTGAGTTAACATCTGTCAGCCCCATTTTCCACCTCTGTAAAATGAATTGGCCATGTTAGGGCTCTCAAAACTCAACTTTCTCAACATTCATGGAGCTAAATTCTACCTAATTTTCCGAATGTCCTTGACAAACCAAATCTAGATAAGTTAATTTATTCAATCAGTCACCTCCCAAATATTTATTTACCTGGTGGTTTTCCTCTGCTGTGGCACTTCCAAGTACATCTGTTCCTATGGGGCTGATGGGCTGGGGAATTGGGAGAGATGATTTAGGAAACAAGTAAACAGATATGTGAAGAAAGTGATTTCATATATATATATATATATTTTTTTTTTTTTTTTTTTTTGCCACAGTGTGTCACTGTGTCACCCAGGATGGTGTGCAGTAGCACAATCTCGGCTCACTGCAACCTCCACCTCCCAGGTTCAAATGATTCTCCTGACTCAGTCTCCTCAGTATCTGGGATTGCAGGCAGCCGCCACCACACCCAGCTAATTTTTTTATTTTTAGTAGATAGGAGGTTTCACCATGTTGGCCAGGCTTATCTCCAACTCCTGACTTCAAGTGATCCACCCGCCTTGGCCTCCCAAAGTGCTGGGATTACAGGCGTGAGCTGCTCTGCCTGGCCTAAACAAGGTGATTTCTGATAGTGAGCACTACTTTGGAGAAAAAAATCTAAAATGATAAGATAGGGATAGGAGACACTTTATGATATGCTGCACTCTAGATTTAGAGAACTGAATGCATCCACTCAAGAGTTTTTAATGATCTTTAATAGTTATCTACTAGAACTATTTCAAAATTGGTGAAGTATATTTTTATCATGAATGTGGCATTGTCTTAAAGATAAGAAACCAAAAATAAGTTCTTTTATGAACAGAGAAATGTAAATTTGTAGCATTTAAACGTTTACAGTCAGAAATGCTTTCATTAAACAATTTAATTATTATTTTAAAAAGAAGGAATAGAAATACCTTAAATCTGTAAATAATGCTAAGATTTTCAAACAGTAAAATACCAAGCTTGATTGAATTAGATTGTGGAAATATTTTGATTGCTTACAAGGCTGAAAAGAACCATGCCAGGTAACTTTCAGTATGGCAAGTGAAAAATAAAGATTTCGAAAAATATTCCAAACTGTTTATTAAAATTCATAAACTAACTTTTGTCTGTAATTTTAGGATTACAGACAAATTGTACATACAGAAAAGTTGCACAAAGATTTTCCCTATTTCTCCCCCAACACACACATACACTTTCCTCTGTTATTAACACATCTTGCATTTGTGTGTTACATTTGTTAAATTGGTGAAGCAATATTGATACGTTATTATTAACTACAGTCCATAGCTTCCATTAAGCTTCATTCTTTGTGTTGTACATTCTGTAGGTTTTGACAAATATCTAATGGCATGTATCCACCGTTATAACGTCATGCAGAAGAGCACCACTACCCTAAACATACCCTGTACTCCACGTACTCATCTCTCCCTCCTTCCCCTGAACCTGTGGCAATCACTGATCTTTCACTGCTTCTATATATAGTTTTGCTTTTTCCAAATATCTTTTAGTTAGAGCCAGAAAGTATATAGCCTTTACAGACAGACTTTCACTTAGCAATATGTATTTAAATTTCCTTCATATCTATTGGTGACTCAATAATTCTTTTTATTGCTGCATAATATTCTATTGTAAGGATAAACCAGAGTTTGTTCATTCACCTGCTGATGCATTAATGGACATCTTGTTTCCAGGTATTGTCCAGATATGAATAAAGTGTGATTGCTGGATTGCATGGTAAATCTGCTTAGTTTTGTAAGAAACTGCCAAACTATCTTCCAAACTGGTCATAACGTTTTGCATTCCCACCAGGAAGGAATGAGAGTTCTTTTTGCTCCACATTCTCACTGACATTGGCTGTTTTCAGTGTTCTGAATTTTAGCCATCAACTAGGTGGGCAGTACTATCTAATTTTGTTTTATTTCTGAATTCCATAATGACATATGATGGTGAGCATCTTTTAATATGCTTACTTGCCAGCTGTATTTATTTATTTCTTTATTTTTCCTTTGGTAGGATGTCTGCTTAACTCTTTTGACCATTTAAAAATGGGTCCCTTACTTATGTGTTTCTGAGTTGCAAGACTTCTTTGTATATCTTGGATACTACTCCTTTATCAGATATATATTTTGTGAATATTTTCTCTCTGATTGTGACTCGGCTTTTCATTCTCTGGAGAGTGTCTTTTGCAGAGCAGAAGTCTTTAATTTTAATGAAGCCCTGCCTATCAATTATTTCTTTCATGGATTGTGCCTTTGGTGTTACATGTAAAAAATCACCAGCAAACCCAAGGTCATCTAGATGATCTTATTTGTTATCTTCTCCATGTTTTATAGTTTTGCATTTTATATTGAAGTTTATGGCGCATTTTTAGTTGATTTTTGTTAAGGATGTAAACTGTAATGATTTATTCTATTTTTTGCATGTGGATGGCTATTTGTTCCAGCATCATTTTTTGAAAAGATGATTATTTCTCCATTCTATTGCCTTTGCCTCTTTGTCAAAGATCAGTTGACTGTATTTGTGTGGATCTATTTCTGGGATCTCCATTGATTTGTTTATTGTCTATCTTATCTTTTTTTTTTTTTTTTTTTTTTTACTAATAATCACACTTTATTACTGTGACATTATAGTAAGCATTAAAGTCGGGTGGTACCAATGATATTTGTTCTCCTTCAGTGTTGTGTAGGCTTTTCTGGGTCTTCTTCTTCTCTATATAAGCTTTAGAATCAGTTTGTTGATATCCTCAAAATAACTTTATGTGATTTTAATATTTAATTTAAACTTTGTTTTGACCAAGCAAAAAAAAATGTATTATATATTAGATTATTTCTTAAATATTGTAGTCTACTATGGTAGTCTGGGGCCCATGTGGCCACCTTACAGCAATCATAGTGAAACACAGTCTCTTATCGTGGTGTAAACCATGGTATTATATTCATGGAACACTGTAGTCATTTCTTGTCCTGAAAGAGGAAATGATGGCCCTGGAAGAAATGGGATGGGGGTGGGGGGACGGCTATGAAAGCAGCAAGGGGCACAATTTAGGACCACAGAGTAGAAAGATTAGCATCTTTCAGTTAGAGAAGATTAAAGCTGCAAGAACATTTTCTGCTTTCTACATTACGTAGTCAATTTATTGAATAGCGTAATCCTGCTAAGTAGTAGTGACCAAGGGTAGAAGATATTTAATTACAGAAATCTACATTTAAGGGAGATAATAAAGGTCACGTTGGTGGTTTTGGCCTTGTCTCTGAATGTGGCAGGTGTAAAGTGCCCACAGTGCCCTCACACAGAATGTCTGAGATAGCCCTGTATACTGGAGGACCAACAAGACTCCTGTATAAGTACTCCCTGTATCAACCTATAGATGGATCTGCTGGGCACTTGTATGCAGAATCTTCATTTCTTTTGATGAGTTGATCTTTGCTCTTAATAATTTACATTTGAGTTTTTGTCAAATAGATCAGTTAAGGTAAACCTAATTAATCCTTTACCTTGTAAACAAATTCTGCTTCACAGGAGACTTCCGAAGACAGAGACATTGTTCCTGACTTGGTTTCCTTTATGTCACTCAGGGTCCCTGAGATGAATGTTAGAATCCATCAAAATTGACCATGTTTTTTTTTTTTAATTTGGTTCAAAAGGAAATACCCAGTTTGTCCTGAGTAATTTCTTTTTTCATCTCCAACCCACTTTCCTGCTTACTTTTGCCTTTTATTCATGCTGAAGAAATGGGCTTTTCTTCTTGCTACTACAGCTGCAGTTAGGTAAATGGTTTTTGTTTCAGTACTTAATATGGGAAGTAATTGGTGAAGGACTTTAGAGAGACAGTATGTATTGTTTAGAGGTATTTCCTGACTCCTCCCAGAAATCATATATGTGTGTGTGTATATATATCTACACAAAATGAAAAACTAAATTGTTATATATATATAGATAGATAGATAGATAGATTACAGATGGTGTTAAAATTTAAGTTCCAGTTCTCATATCTTGCCTTTTAAAAAGTCTCTTAATTAAATAGATAATGTGAGATCTATGTTTTAGATCTCTAGCCTAGAACATAATTATGTTCTAGATCTAAAACATAATTATGTTTTAGATCTCTAGCCTAGAACATAATTTCAAACACCTATAATTAAATTGTAAATAAAGTCCAATTTCTCTATTATCAATATAACATGAAACTATATATTATTCTCTAATTCTATGAAAACAGAAAAATATAATAAATATTTTTAAAGAGAAATTCAAACCTGTAGACTGTCTTATAGGCTTTGTATTTCTAATCTCCCACAGAGCCTGACATAGTTCCATTTAATGAGTATTTCTGTTGTTGATGTATATTCTTTTAAGTGAGAGTAACAATATTATTTTTTTAATTGACTGAGGAAAAGTAAATTGTGTTTGCATTTAAAAAAAAACCTTTCATATGATATTTTAAGAGTCTCCAAATAAGGATAACTGCATAAATAAACTAGTAATTTATTTGCTTAGTTCAAAAATATAAAAGCTAATACGTCAACTTATTCAATTAATGGTTTGCTGATGGTTGATAGACACAGTAAAGACAAATAATACAAAGAGTAAAACATCTGAGGATAGCACTGTCCAGAGGAAGATTCCTCAGTATAACGAAGGGAGGAAGGAACTGAAAATATATATATCTGTTAAATTATGTAATAAATGTATGCTTTATTGCTTCATTGGAAATATAATTGGCCATAGTAGAGATTTGCCATACACTTACTCTAGCTTTTCCAGCTGCTAATTAGAGGTGGAAATGCCATCTTATTTTTATGCATACTTCATATGATCCATATTTTTAAAGTATACTTTAAAAAGTACATTTTGTGATTCTGGCCAAAATAGAGACTATAATCTGTTATATTACTCATTTAGAGTTAGAAGGTCTGATCTCCCCATTGTTCCTGATAAGTACAAATGATTTTAATATTGGTAATCAAGAGACTGCTTTGTGACGCAATTTTATTCTCATCTTGTCTTCTTAAAAGTTGCCACTATCTGCCTCATGAGCAATTGTGAGTAAATGGTCAGAGGATTTATGCTTTTGCCTTGCTATTTTAAATACCGAGGTATGATAACAACCACTCTCTTAGTTTTCTTTTATTGTTAAGTTTTTAAAAATCAAGGAATGGTGTGTATACCTTCCTCTTCGGTTGAGAATGGTCCAGAGAATGTCACAGGAATACATAACATTGCAGAGGCAAATTTCCATATGCTGCAGAATTAAATTCTAGACAAATACACCCATTTCATATGAAGAGATAAAGGAAACTAGTTTGGTTATATTCGGATAGTCAAAGAAACTTGTGGAACTTATAACGATAAAATAATAATATAACTGCAATCATCATAAAAGCTATGGAGAATTGCATGCTTAAGTTGTAAGTGTGCAGTTTGTCCCTACTTCTAGCAGATTTGCATATTAAAAACTGTACATTCTTTGCTAGCCAATATGTGCTAGCAAATACTGACACTACAGACACATAAAATTGGTCAATCCCCACATTAGATTTATATGGAATTTCACAGATGAGGACACTACAACTTAAGTAATACATGCTCAAAATCAAGTAGGCTGTGGGGTTTCAATATCAGTCTACCTAATTCTAATGTCTGGACTCTTTCTATTATATCATGCCACTTTCCAAAAATTCCAGGAACTATGTACAAGGTAAACTACATAGTTGATTAATCCAATAGTTAATTTTTGCAGATTGTGTATTATTCATGTCTCTATATTGTCTTACCTTTAATATTCTTCAAAAAATTAAGTATACATATGTGAATATGAATTTTTTTAAAAATTTATTCATATACGTATACTTAGTTTTTAAAATTTAACATTTTAGCATTTAACATTTATTTTATGTACATAATATATAATAGCTAAATAGCATTTAATATATGTGAAAGAATAGCTGCTGAAATGCTTAGCACTCAATTTCATTTTTTTTTTTTAGCAGTTCCAGTAATTTTTGTGCTGCCTATTCGAGAGAAAGATAAAAATTAGATTTGGTTATTGCTTATGTATTTTCTGCTAACCGTCCACTCTTACCCTAGGTAGCTTAGAGCCAACTCTAATGGTGTGACTTTCATTGCTTAAGGGGATGGAAATAAAAGCAGAACTTGGAAAATATGGGAAGCTGACTAAATCAACCTGCCACACGATGAGGTTGAGAGCATGGTGGCATTGGCCTGCTACCACCACTTAGTGAGAACTTCTAAAAACATTTGCAGTGGACATTGGTGTGTGAAAAACTTCTCATTCAACATACTAGTAAAGATAATCAAAATAAAATACAGCATTGAAAATTATAGGAAAGTTCTATTTCTGTTTACTCATTAGGAAATAAGGAACCCACATTTTTGTTTTAAAGTAAGCACGCTGCATTCAGTCCCCATCTATTCATCTTATCTACTTAAAGTTTAAATTATGCCATTATAGGTGCCATGTAAATTTGGGGAAAAATGGATACTTTTAAGATGTGTAATCAAATCTAGAAAATGAGGTGTCTAGCTTTCTATTGCTAGAATTATAATACTCTCTCTGTCCTTTCTCGATGCTTCCATTACTAAGCAAGTACTAATTAGAGAAGAGCAATGGAAAAGAAAATAATTAGACGTGAGATGAAGATATCTTTTACAGGAATGTGACTGTTAGATTTTAACCTGCTTCACTATTTATCTGTTAATCCATGCCCTTCAGGGTGATGCCATTGCTTTCCCCTGAGTGATTGTTACTGAAAGTCTCTCTCCTCCCATATTAGAGTTTTTCATAATCAAGATGGCCCCAGGATGCGCAGTCACACTGACCTGACCAGATTTTTTGCCACGTAGATTATCTTTTCTAAAACAGCGCTTTGGATTAAGAGACGCTGAACTCAACAGTCTTCAGCAGTCTATAAAAGATAAATGGTTCAGAAAGTTTGACACACAGCCTTTTCTGTTGTATGCTTAAGTAAAGGCAGTCCTGCGGTTTGACTCACCTTGTTCTTTGTGACAACCTGCCGTAATCTGCCTTTTCTGCTTCATAGACTACGTGAAGCACAGTGATAAAAAGTAGTTCTGGTTCTCAGGGCCCCCTGGTGGGATGACCTGGGTGCAGAGATCTTCCAGATATTGCCAACCATAGGAATTCACTGGGAGTGCTTCAGGGAGACCTACGGTGCTGCTGTTTGTGAAGTCCATGTCTCAAATCCTTTTGAACCCCGCTGTCAATATTACTGAGCTCTGTGTCCCCTGCTCAGTCTGTCTTTCATTTGTATCTGACCCGGTAGGGTATGTTAGAATAAGTAGCACTCTGGTGTCCGGAGGGGGTGGCTCAAAAGCTTGCTGGTGTCTACCTTTGGCATTTAATGTTAAGTACACTTATCTACTCAAAGGTGGTAGGAAAACTACCTTGTTTTTATACCACAGGAAAAAAACTCTAGCAGAAAAGTTACATATATTTTAATAAACACACACCCATACACACACACACACAAACACACACAAAAACCTCAGGGTATATACATTTTGACTGGATTCTTTCATCCATTACAATCATTTTGAGATTCATCTATGTTACAGTGTATTTTGCAAGTGCCTTCCTTTTTATTGCTGAATATTATTTCATTGCATAAATATATACTACAGTTTGTTTATCTGTTCTGACATTTGGGTTTAAATAGGTTTTGACGAGTACATGTAAAGCTGGACATTTGTATACAGTTCTTTGTGTAGTCATGTGCTTTTTTTTGCCTCTTGTGCAAATACTTCCCTGCGAAATGTCCTGGTCCCAAAGAAAATGGCAATCTCTTCTCCAAAGTAGTTGTACCATTTTCCATTTAGACCAGAAACATAGATGAATTCTAGTTGTTTTATATTCTTGACAACACTTGGTTTGGTCTACCTTTTAATTAAAAGGTATTCAATTTGACAGGTGTGTAGTAGTATCTCATTGTGGTCTTAATTTGCATTTTCCTAATAGAAAGTAATGCTGGGCATCTTCTCAGGTACTTATTTGCCATCTATATGTCTTCTTTGCTGCAGTGTCCATTCAAATCTTTTGCCCATTTTTTTATTGGGTTGTTTTCTTCATTTTCCACTTTTTATTGGGTTGTTTTATTTTTTATTTTTATTTTTGGAAACGTAGACTCGCTCTGTGGCCCAGGCCGGAGTACAGTGGCAGGATCATGGATCACTGCAGACTCAACCTCCTTAGGCTCAAGTGATCCTCCCATCTCAGCCTCCTGAAGAGATGGGACTACAGGCACATGCCACCTTGCTTGGATTTTTATTATTTTTTTATTTTTTATAGAGTCAGGGTCTCGCTCTGTTGCCCAGGATGGTGAGTTGTTTTCTTACCATTGAGTTCTGCATGTGCTACATTACAGACATAAGTCCTCTTTATCAGATATATAACTTGCAAATGCTTTATCCAAGTTCGTGACTTGTCTTTTCTATATTTTAATAGTATATTTCACAAGCAGAAAGTCTTAAATTTAACACATTTAATTTGTAACTTTGCTCTTTTTTTTGGTCATGCTTTGGGGATCTTAGCTAAAAAGTGTTTTCTTAACCCAAGGTCATAAAGGAATTATTTTGTTTTCTTCTAGAAGTTATATAGTTTTAGGTTTTAAATTTAAGACTATGATCAATTGTGTGTTAATTTTGTATATGATGTAAAGCAGAAATCAAAGTTCATTTTTTGCATATCAATCTCTAATTGCTACAGTATGGTATTTTGAAAAGACTATTCATTCTGCACTGAATAGCCTCTGCTCCTTTATCAAGATCAGTTGTCAACATGTTTGTGTCTGTTTCTGGAGTCTTCTGTTCTATTGATCTATTTGTCTGTATCTGTACCAATAACGTACTCTTTTTTACGGTAGCTTGATTAGTTCTAAAAATTTAGTAGTGTTCTCTAACTTTGTTTTAGATATTCCAGGTCATTTGTGTTACTCTATAAAATTTAGAATCACTTTGTCAGTTTCTAAAATAAATAAATAAAGCCTGTTGTGATTTTGATTAGGATTGCAATGAATCTATAGATGAATTTGGAGAGTATTGATATTTTGACAACACTGAGTCTTCTAACCTGTAACATAACATACTTCATTTACTTGAGGCTACTTTATTTCCTCTCAGTGGTGTTTTGTTTTGGGTTTTCAATGTCTCTTCTGTTTCTTTCTGTTGTTTGGTCAGATGTTTTCCTGTTTTATATTTTTTTAAATGATGTGGTAAATGGTAGTGTTAACGTTTTAATTTCCAACAGTTTGTTGCTAGTATGTAGAAATACAATTAATTTTGTATATTGAGCTTATTCTCTTCCAACTTGGCTAAACTCACTTAGTACTTCTGGTAGGAGTTCCCATAGGATTTTCACATAGAAACTATGCCATCTTTGAAGGAATACAGTTTTTCTTCTTCTTTCCCAGCCTCGATGTCTTTTGTTTATCTGGAGTTCTTAATTTGGAATTATTGCATTGACTAAAACCTCCAGTACAATGTTGAATAGAACTGATAAGAGCAGACATCCTCACTGTGTTCCTCCTTTTAAGGGGAAAGCCTTCAGTCTTTTACCGTCAACTATAAAGTTAGCTGTAGGTCCTCCATAGATTCTCTTTATCAGGGCAAGGAAGTTTACTTCTCTTCCCGTTTTGCATCACCTCTCATTATTGGAATGTACTCTACTTGATCATAATGTACTTTTTAAAATACAGTGTTGAATTTCATTTGTGAAAAATGTTAATTTTTTATCTGTTTCTGAGGAATGTAATATTTTATCTGGTTTTGGTATTATGGCAGTGGTGGCTTCATTGAGTTGGAAAGTAGTCATTCATTTTTTGTTTGTTTATTTGTTTGTTTGAGACAGAATTTCACTCTCTTGCCCAGGTTGGAGTGCAGTGGCGCGATCTCAGCTCACTGCAACCTCTGCTTCCTGGGTTCCAGCGATTCTCCTGCCTCTGCCCCCTCATGTAGCTGGGATTTCAGGCGCATGCCAACACGCCTGGCTAATTTTTGTATTTTTAGTAGAGATGGTTTCACCATATTGGCCAGGCTGGTCTTGAACTCCTGACCTCAAGTGATCCACCCACCTCAGCCTCACAAAGTGCTAGGATTACAGGCGTGAGCCACCGTGCCAGGCCAGTCATTCCTTTTTAATTTTCTGCTAAAGTTTGTGTAGATTCATGTAATTTTTACCCTAAATATTTGCTAGAATTCACTGAAAGGTTTTTACAAAATCAGTCTCTTCAACAAATTCTATTCAGGTTATTATCTCTTTTTTATTGACTGACTATGTCTTTCAAAGAATTTGTCCATTTCATCCAAGTAGTCAAATTTACTGGTATAAAATTGTCCATAATCTGTCTTTATATTTTTAATATCTGCACAATCTGTAGTGATGTAACCTTTGCCTTTGCTGATGTTATAATTTATGTCTTCTCTCTCTGCCTACATGTTTATCTATTGTACTATCTCAACTAATTTGCTGTTGATTTTTAGAATTTCTGTCTCTCTTTCTCTCTCTCTTTTTCTTTTTTGCTTTTTACTTCAGTATTGGGTAAATTACAGTCTGTAGACCAAATTTAGCTCTGTTTTTGTAAGGCCTTGCATCTAAGAATGATTTTTACTTTTTTAAAGGGTTGTAAAAAGAAATAATAAGAATATGCAACAAAACCATAGGAGACTTACAAAGATGACAATATTTATTGTCTGACACTTTACAGAAAAAATTTGTCCATCCCTGTTTTATATAATTGATTTTGACTCTGATTTACTTTCTTTGGATTTAATTTGTTCTTCTTTATTTAGTTTTATATTATAGAAAATGTCATTGATTTGAGATCTTCTTTTCTAATATAGGTATTTATTGCATTCCTCGTCAGTTTCTGTTGACCACAATATCTGGATATCAGATATTGTGACTTATGCTTTGTGGATTATTAGATATGTTTTTTTCTCTTCTACAGATATTTTTGGTCGTTGTTCTGGGACCGAGTTAAGTTACTTGGAAATAGTTTTATCCTTCCAGGTCACGTTGTTGGTTGTTAGGCAGAACTGGAATAAGGGTCAGTCTAGGACTTACTGTTGCCCACCAGAGGCCGGCCACTCTGTGTATTCTACTCAATGCTCTGTGAACCAGCAAGGTTTTCAGTTTCACTGGTGGGTATAAGAGGCACTGTTCCTTACCCTCGTGGGTCCCTGACACTGTTATCTCTAATCCTTTTGGGTAGGTTCTTTTTAGTTTTCTCACATGCATAAACTTGAACAAGTCTTTGCAGATCTCTGACACTCTGTCTCTGAGCACCTCTCACCAATATTTTGTCCTGTGAAATTTGGAGGCCATCGTCTCCCTCAACTCTCAGCTTTATCTCCTCACTTTAGCCTTAGGCCCCAGCCTGGAAACGCTCTCAAGGCAGTAAGTTGGAGTAATGTTAAGACTCACCTTATTTGTTTCTGTCTCTTAGGGATTGTTAGTTTTCAATGCTTGATAGCCAGTATCTTCAAAACCATTGTTTCAAGTAAAATAATTACCAAAAAAATATGAATGAGCTTGAAGCTCTTTTTAAAAGAAGAAATAGATCATTTCAGCAATGTAATGGGAGATTTCTAAATCTATTTGTCTCAGTGAAATAAGAGGGAGCCATAGATAAAATTTAAGCAATAAAATTAACAAATGCTATATAAAAATATATATATACATAAGTACTATATCTGACACAAATTTATAAATGTGATATTCATCACAAATAATACATTCTCTTTATTCAAACACACATATTTAAGTCATAAAGCAAGAATCATCAAAGCCAAAGATTAATTTCTTATACCCAGTATTCTTTGAATACAATGAAATGAAGTTAGAAAACTTAACTAGGTCAACCCATATTGAAAATTAAGAAAACCTCTTAAGTAACTAATGGATCAAAGAAGAAATCATAAAGGAAATTAGATGGTATTATTAATGTAGAAAAATACAAAATAAAAAAAAAATTCTATATACTAAAAATTGATCCTTTTACATGTGTGGCTATAATGGCTCTTCAAGGAAAATTGGTGAGCTTTATTTTTTTTTCATCAGAAAGGAACAGAGGCTGAAAATTAGTGAACTAAGCATCCAACATAAGATGTCAGAAAAAAGACAACAGAAAGAACCTAAAGAAAATGGATAAATAAAATAATAAAAATAATTCCAGACATCAACAAAGAAAAAAATAAAATAAATATAATAAATATAATAGTTTGCTCTTTAAAAAGCAAAGAAAATAGATACACATCTCACAAGACTGATCAAGAAAAAAATACTAAAGACACAAATAATATTAGGAATAAAAAAGTACACTTAACAAATATAAATCTGAAATTAAAATGTTGTTAAAGGATGATATGACTACAAATACTAGGAAAGCAAATTTAGAAATAGATATAGACACATATATAGATATATGTATATATCCATAGATATATATCTCACAACCCTCTAGGATTTATTCCAGATATACCTGTCTGGAGTAACATGAAATAGTCATGTTATGTAAACATAAATAATCAATAATGTAATTTACCATATTGACAGATTAAAACAATTACATGATCTCAGTAGATGCTGAAAAAGTATTTTAAAAAATTTCTCATGCAGTCATGGTTAAAAACGTATCAAACTAGAAATAGAGGACTTTTTTTTTCTTGTTTTTGGGGGTGGGGGTATGGGGGCAAGGTCTCACTCTGTCACCCAGGCTAGAGTACAGTGGCACAATTGCAGCACACTGCAGCCTCGGCCTCCTGGGCTCCTGTGATCTTCCCACCATAGCCTCCCAGGGAGCTGGGACTACAGGCATGCACCATCACACCTGGCTAGCTTTTTTTTTTTTTTTTTGTAGAGACAGATTTTTCACTATGTTGCCCAGGCTGGTCTCGAACTCCTGGGCACAAGCAATTCATCCACCTTTGCCTCCCAAAGTGCTGAGATTACAGGTGTGAGCCACTGAACCCAGCCAAATTTTCATTAATCTAATAGAAAAAGATCTATTTAAAAACTGTGGAAAATACGGCAAAAATGCTCAAAGGTTATTTTTAAGATTGGGAAAAAACACGATTATATTCATTATGACCAGTCCACTGAAAGGAATATGGCTAGTAAAAGAACAAAAGTTATTGTCTTTGTTTTATGTTGTTACAACAGAATACCACAGCCTGGGTAATTTACAAAGAAAAGAGTTCATTTGGCTCATAGTTCTGAAGGCTGGAATGTCCTAGAACGTGGCAATGGTATCTGGTCAGGACCTTTCTCCTGTGTCATAACATGGCAGAGGGCAAGAGCATGCCAGCTAAGATCTCCTTTCTCTTCTTATAAAGCCACCAGTCTCATTATGAGGGCCCCACTCTGATGGCCTTATCTAATCTTAATTACCTCCCAAAGGCCCCACCTCCAAATACCATCAACATACGAATTTGGGGATTAAGTTTCCAACATATGAAATTTGAGGGACACATTCAAAACATAGCAAGTTTCAAGGTTGGAAAGTAAGAACCTATCATTATTCATAGCTAATGTGACTACAAAGCTCAAAAGAATATAACGATAAGTCATATAAATTCATAAGAGAATGTATAACTTTGCTGAATAAAAATTCAGCATACTGAAATCAATTGCATTTCTGTATGCTAACAACAGGCAGAAGATGTGATTTTTCTAAGCTACCATTTAAAATTGCGTGCATCAAAAATATGCTGAACCTTGGAATAATCTAACAAAAGATTTATACGGCCTTTGTGAATAACTTGACAAAACTATTGCTAGAGGTTAAGTAAAGCCTCAGTAAATGGAAAGATATTCCTTGAATTACGAACAATCAGTTCTTTTGTTAATCATTGCACAATGTATTCAGTCACCACAATATGCAATCAGCAGGTTGACTCATTATCTTTACTTGAAAAGGATGCATACTTGTTGCTATTATCAGTTTGTTTCCCTGCACTCAAGAGTACATGATGGGTTTCTTAATTTATTTTGCTTCAAGCCTACCCTTGGGCAGCTTTCTGTGTGTAGCCAACATCTGCCCTGATTCTTAAAATGACCATTTTCAATGCTAGACAGAAAGTGCCGTGATTTATCTATGTTTTCTCAGTAGTGAACAGGGAAAAGAACAGCTGATATGTGAGGAGCAATTGTGTTGTATTCGGAGTTATTCCAGGCGTGGTCTTCACCTCTTCACATCTGGAATGGGAGGCCCTGGGGCCTGGGGATGAACTCAGGGGAGTAAGAGAGCACAGAAAGAGGTTTCTGAACAGCTTCCTTGGTTGTTTGTGGAGCTGCGGTCTTGTCCTAGGAAAATTCTTTACCTTTTGGTGCACACTTTGTTTCTGTATAGTGATTATACAGTATACAGGACTGATTACCATGGAAGCATTTTGTTAAAGCACAGTGAAATCCTTACCTCTTCTGCCTATCACGTTTGAGCAACTGCTTCAACCCAAACCAAAAGAAACTCACTTCTTTCCTGCTTGTGTGTGAACTCACTGTATTCAGGTTCCCTGGGGCACATCCATTTTCAAACCTGCAGCCCAGAAAGGAATGGAGCCTGGATAGAAAGCCAGTGACAGGTACTATCTGTCAAGTCCACATTTTCAGAGCCACTGTTAGTAGTAGTGGGGCTGCTTCAAGGACAGGGCGAAATATATCTGAGTATCTCGGTGGGCAGGGGGCATCATAAAGACGCCATTTTTCTCTCAACCTTCAGAATGGACAAGGGCCAGGCCAGACCTCCCTGACCCAGCTGTGAGGGCAGTGATGGGGGTGACCTTGGTTTGGCTCAGTTGCTCTAGTTTCCAGCACGTAACACCCCTTGGCATCATTTCAGCTAATAACTAATATCATATGCTGCTATATGATTCATAGAATCACATCTGTTAAAAGTAAATTTACATTAGGAATTAAAATAATGCCTCCAAATCACCACAGTGTGATAGTTTGCTAAGTGAAAATTGACTTATAAAAGGAAGGTAAAACAGGGAATCTCTGATTGCAGAGTCTCTGTAGACGATTTGAGATTGCACATTGAAGACCATATGTTTCTATGCGAATGTGACATGTATCTAATATTGGGAGCATTTCCAGAAAATGCTGTGCAATATGCTCTTCAAAAAAACCAAGTCTTAACTTGGTATTAGACTGAGCCACGTTTATACACTGCAGTTTGTGGATTGTATGCACATGGGAATGGCACCTCAAAACAAACTTTCCTTTTAGACTGTTAACTCCATTTGTGAGCCAACAGCAGATGGCTGAACTGGCACAGAAATTCTTTTCCGCATAGCTCTGTCATCACTGTGGTAAAGGTGCCAGAGAGGGAGTGACCACAGACCACGTTTCTTAGGGTTTTCTAATATATTAAATAACTTTCCTTTTTTTCTATTGCTCATGGGTGAAATCTCTACAAAAGTATTTCATAAGTAACGTTTTTGTATATGTTGGTTTTAGCAGAAGCTTTCTTATCTTGCAACATTAGAAATCATGTAGGTTTCCTAAAATTTTAACTGTTTAAATTTTGCATATCTTGCATTATTATTTTACTTCTATAATCCCTGTCTTCTACACTTGTGAGCATGCTTGCACACATACACATACACACACACACCCCTTCCATGAAAATGAATGTACAGAAACAACTTGTGCCTTATACTTACTAAATGCATATTCAGAAAGTTAAATGTTGTTTGATCCTATGTAAGTACACTTAAAAAAACCCCATCTAGTCTCAGATATCCAATATACTTCACCTGATCCACCACTAGTGCCACCATGTAGTCTAC